>NC_000005.10:49667531-49721203 GCF_000001405.40 Homo sapiens | reverse complement strand
TCTGTCTAGATTTTATATGAGGATGTTTCCTTTTCTACCATGGGCATCAAAGCCTTCCACATATCCAATGGTAGATTGTACAAAAGAGTGTTTCAAAACTGCTTTATGAAAAGGAAGGTTCAACTTTGGGAGCAGAATGCACACATCACGAAGAAGTTTCCGAGAATGCTTCTGTCCAGTTTATATGTGAAAATATTCCCATTTCCAGCGAAGGTCTCAAAGCGGTCCAAATATTCACTTGCGGATTCCACAAAAAGAGTGTTTCAAAACTGCTCTATGGAAAGGTATGTTCAACTCTGTGAGTTTAATGCAAACATCATAAAGAAGTTTCTGAGAATGCTTCTGTCTAGTTTAATGTGAATATATTTTCTTTTCTACCATAGCCCTCAAAGAGCTCCAAATATCCACTTTCAGATTCTACAAAGTGTTTCAAAACTGCTCTATCAAAAAAAAGTTTCAACTCTGTGAGTGGAATGCACATAACACAAAGTAGTTTCTGAGAATGCTTCTGTCTAGATTTTAGAGCCAGATATTTCTTTTTCTGCCATAGGCCTCAAAGCGCTCCTGATATCCACATGCAGATTCTACACAAAGAGTGTTTCAAAACTGCTCTATCAAAAGGAAGGTTCAACTCTGGTAGTTGAATGCAAACATCACAAAGAAGTTTCTCAGAATGCTTCTGTCTAGTTTTTAGAGCCAGATATTTCTTTTTCTGCCATAGGCCTCAAAGCGCTCCTGATATCCACTTGCACACTCTACAGAAAGAGTGTTTCAAAACTGCTCTATCAAAAGGAAGGTTCAACTCTGTGAGCTGAATGGACAGATCACAAAGGAGTTTCTGAGCATGCTTATGTCTAGTTTTTATGTGAAGATATTCCCGTTTCCAAGGAAGGCTTCAAAGCACTCCAAATATCCACCTGCAGATTCTACAACAAGTGTCTTTCAACACTGCTCTATCAAAAGTGAGGTTCCACTCGGTGAGTTGAATGCACACATCACAAAGAAGTTTCTAAGAATCCTTCAGTCTAGTTTTTATGTGAAGATAATCCTGTTTCCAACGATAGCCTCAAAGCAGTCCCAGTATCCACTTGCAGATTCTACAAAAATAGTGTTTGAAAACTGGACTATATAAAGAGAAGTTCAACTTTCTGAGTTGAATGCAAACATCACAAAGGAGTTTTACAGAATACTTCTGTCTGGTTTTTTGTGAAGATATTTCCTTTTTCACCATAGCCCTTGACGTGCTCCAAAAGCCCACTGGTGCATTCTACAAAAAGAATGTTGCAAAACTGCCCTATTAAAAGGAAGGATCAACTCTGTGAGTTGAATGCAAACATCACAAAGATGTTTCTGAGAATGCTTCTGTCCAGTTTTTATGTGAAGACATTCCCTTTCCACCAGAGGCCTCAAAGCGCTCCAAATATCCAATTGCTGATTCTACCAAAACACTGTTTCAAAACCGCTCCATAAAAAAGATGGTTCCACTCTGTGAGTTGAATACACACATCACAAAGAAGTTTCAGAGAATGCTTCTGTCTAGTGTTTATGTGAAGATATTCCCGTTTCCAATGAAGGCCTCAAAGCAGTCCAAATATCCACTTGCAGATACTACAAAAATAGTGTTTCAAAACTGCTCTATGAAAAGGTATGTTCAACACTGTGAGATGAATGCAAACGTCACAAAGAAGTTGCTGAGAATGCTTCAGTCTAGTTTCTATGTGAAGATATTTCCTTTTCGACCACAGCCCTCAAAGCACTCCAAATGTCTACTTGCAGATTCGATAAAAGAGTTTTTCAAAACTGCTCTATCAAAAGAAAAGTTCAGCGCTGTGAGTTGAATCTACATATCACAAAAAAGTTTCTGAGAATGCCTCTATCTACTTTTTATGTGAAGATATTCCGGTTTCCAATGAAGGCCTCAAAACGCTCCAAATATCTACTGGCAGATTCTACAAAAAGAGTGTTTCAAAACTGCTCTATTAAAGGAAGGTTCAACTCTGTGAGTTGAATTCACACATCACAAAGAACTTTCTGACAATGCTTCTACCTAGTTTTTATGTTAAGATAGTACTGTTTCCTATGAAGGCCTCAAAGTGGTCCAAATATCCACTTGCAGATTCTACAAAAAGAGGTTTTCCAAACTGCTCTATGAAGAGGTAGGTTCAACTCTGTGAGTTGAATGCAAACATCACAAAGTAGTTTCTGGGATTGCTTCGGTCTAGTTTTTAGGTGAAGATATTTCCATTTGCACAATAGCCCTCCAAGCGCTCCAAATATCCACTGGCGGATTCTACAAAAAGAGTGTTTCAGAACTGCTCTGTCAAAAGAAATGTTCAACTGTGTTAGTTGAATGCCCACATCACAAAGAAGATTCTGAGAATAATTCTGTCTAGATTTTATTCGAAGATATTCCCGTTTCCACCTAAGGACTCAAAGCGCCCCAAATATCCACTTGCAGATCTTACAAAAACACGTTTCAAAACTGCTCTCTCAAAGGAACGGTTCATCTCTCTGGGTTCAATGCACACATCACAAAGAAGTTTCTGAGAATGATTCTGGCTAGTTTTTATGTGAGGATATTCCCATTTCCAACAAAGGCTTCAAAGCGCTCCAAATATTCACCTGCAATTGTACAAAAGAGTGTTTCAAAACTCTTCTATCAAAAGGAAGGTTCAACTCTGTGAGTTGAATGCACACTTCACATAGATGTTTCTGAGAATGCTTCTTTCTAGTTTTTATGTGAAGATATTTCCTTCTCCACCATAGCCCTCAATGCGCTCCAAATGCCCACTGGCAGATTCCACGGAAACAGGGTTTCAAAACTGCTCTAACAAAAGAAAAGTTCAACTCCGTGATTTGGATGCACACATCACACAGCAGTTTCTGTGAATCCTTCTGTCTAGTTTTTATATGAGGAGATTTCCTTTTCTACCACGGGCATCAAAGCGTTCCAAATATCCAATTGTAGATTGTACAAAAGGAGTGTTTCAAAAATGCTTTATGAAAAGGAAGGTTCAACTTTGGGAGTAGAATGCACACATCACGAAGAAGTTTCTTGAGAATGCTTCTGTCTAGTTTATATGTGAAGATATTCCCATTTCCAGCAAAGGTCTCAAAGCAGTCCAAATATCCACTTGCGGATTCCCCAAAAAGAGTGTTTCAAAACTGCTCTATGGAAAGGTATGTTCAACTCTGTGAGTTTAATGCAAACATCATAAAGAAGTTTCTGAGGATGCTTCTGTCTAGTTTAATGGGAATATATTTTCTTTTCCACCATAGCCCTCAAATAGCTCCAAATATCCACTTTCAGATTCTACAGAGTGTTTCAAAACTGCTCTATCAAAAAAAAGTTTCAACTCTGTGAGTTGAATGCACATATCTCAAAGTAGTTTCTGAGAATGCTTTTGTCAGTTTTTCATAGGAAGATATTTCCTTTTTGACCATAGGCCTCAAATCGCTCCAGATATCCACATGCAGATTCTACACAAAGAGTGTTTCAAAACTGCTCTATCAAAAGGAAGGTTCAACTCTGGTAGTTGAATGCAAACATCACAAAGAAGTTTCTCAGAATGCTTCTGTCTAGTTTTTATATACAGATATTTCTTTTTCTGCCTAGGCCTCAAAGCGCTCCTGATATCCACTTGCAGACTCTACAGAAAGAGTGTTTCAAAACTGCTCTATCAAAAGGAAGGTTCAACTCTGTGAGCTGAATGGACAGATCACAAAGGAGTTTCTGAGAATGCTTATGTCTAGTTTTTATGTGAAGATATTCCCGTTTCCAAGGAAGGCTTCAAAGCACTCCAAATATCCACCTGCAGATTCTACAACAAGTGTCTTTCAACACTGCTCTATCAAAAGTGAGGTTCCACTCGGTGAGTTGAATGCACACATCACAAAGAAGTTTCTAAGAATCCTTCAGTCTAGTTTTTATGAGAAGATAATCCTGTTTCCAACGAAGGCCTCAAAGCAGTCCCAGTATCCACTTGCAGATTCTACAAAAATAGTGTTTGAAAACTGGACTATATAAAGAGAAGTTCAACTTTCTGAGTTGAATGCAAACATCACAAAGGAGTTTTAGAGAATACTTCTGTCTAGTTTTTATGTGAAGATATTTCCTTTTTCACCATAGCCCTTGACGTGCTCCAAAAGCCCACTGGTGCATTCTACAAAAAGAGTGTTGCAAAACTGCCCTATTAAAAGGAAGGATCAACTCTGTGAGTTGAATGCAAACATCACAAAGATGTTTCTGAGAATGCTTCTGTCCAGTTTTTATGTGAAGACATTCCCTTTCCACCAGAGGCCTCAAAGCGCTCCCAATATCCACTTGCTGATTCTACAAAAACACTGTTTCAAAACCGCTCCATAAAAAAGATGGTTCAACTCTGTGAGTTGAATACACACATCACAAAGAAGTTTCAGAGAATGCTTCTGTCTAGTGTTTATGTGAAGATATTCCCGTTTCCAGTGAAGGCCTCAACGCAGTCCAAATATCCAATTGCAGATTCTACAAAAAGAGTGTTTCAAAACTGCTCTATGAAAAGGTATGTTCAACACTGTGAGATGAATGCAAACGTCACAAAGAAGTTGCTGAGAATGCTTCAGTCTAGATTCTATGTGAAGATATTTCCTTTTCGACCACAGCCCTCAAAGCACTCCAAATGTCTACTTGCAGATTCGATAAAAGAGTTTTTCAAAACTGCTCTATCAAAAGAAAGGTTCAGCGCTGTGAGTTGAATCTACATATCACAAAAAAGTTTCTGAGAATGCCTCTATCTACTTTTTATGTGAAGATATTCCGGTTTCCAACGAAGGCCTCAAAGCGCTCCAAATATCTACTTGCAGATTCTACAAAAAGAGTGTTTCAAAACTGCTCTATTAAAGGAAGGTTCAACTCTGTGAGTTGAATTCACACATCACAAAGAACTTTCTGACAATGCTTCTACCTAGTTTTTATGTGAAGATAGTACTGTTTCCTATGAAGGCCTCAAAGTGGTCCAAATATCCACTTGCAGATTCTACAAAAAGAGGTTTTCCAAACTGCTCTATGAAGAGGTAGGTTCAACTCTATGAGTTTAATGCAAACATCACAAAGTAGTTTCTGGGATTGCTTCGGTCTAGTTTTTAGGTGAAGATATTTCCGTTTGCACAATAGCCCTCAAAGCGCTCCAAATATCCACTGGCGGATTCTACAAAAAGAGTGTTTCAGAACTGCTCTGTCAAAAGAAATGTTCAACTGTGTTAGTTGAATGCCCACATCACAAAGAAGATTCTGAGAATAATTCTGTCTAGTTTTTATTCGAAGATATTCCCGTTTCCACCTAAGGGCTCAAAGCGCCCCAAATATCCACTTGCAGATCTTACAAAAACACGTTTCAAAACTGCTCTCTCAAAGGAACGGTTCATCTCTCTGGGTTCAATGCACACATCACAAAGAAGTTTCTGAGAGTGCTTCTGGCTAGTTTGTATGTGAAGATATTCCCACTTCCAACAAAGGCTTCAAGGCGCTCCAAATATTCACCTGCAATTGTACAAAAGTGAGTTTCAAAACTGTTCTGTCAAAAGTAAGGTTCAACTCTGTGAGTTGAATGCACACTTCAAATAGGTGTTTCTGAGAATGCTTCTTTCTAGTTTTTATGTGAAGATATTTCTTTCTCCACCATAGCCCTCAATGCGCTCCAAATGTCCACTGGCAGATTCCACGGAAACGGGGTTTCAAAACTGCTCTAACAAAAGAAAAGTTCAACTCCGTGATTTGGATGCACACATCACACAGCAGTTTCTGTGAATCCTTCTGTCTAGATTTTATATGAGGATGTTTCCTTTTCTACCATGGGCATCAAAGCCTTCCACATATCCAATGGTAGATTGTACAAAAGAGTGTTTCAAAACTGCTTTATGAAGAGGAAGGTTCAACTTTGGGAGCAGAATGCACACATCACGAAGAAGTTTCCGAGAATGCTTCTGTCTAGTTTATATGTGAAGATATTCCCATTTCCAGCAAAGGTCTCAAAGCGGTCCAAATATCCACTTGCGGATTCCCCAAAAAGAGTGTTTCAAAACTGCTCTATGGAAAGGTATGTTCAACTCTGTGAGTTTAATGCAAACATCATAAAGAAGTTTCTGAGGATGGTTCTGTCTAGTTTAATGGGAATATATTTTCATTTCCACCATAGCCCTCAAAAAGCTCCAAATATCCACTTTCAGATTCTACAGAGTGTTTCAAAACTGCTCTATCAAAAAAAAGTTTCAACTCTGTGAGTTGAATGCACATATCTCAAAGTAGTTTCTGAGAATGCTTCTGTCTAGTTTTTAGAGCCAGATATTTCTTTTTCTGCCATAGGCCTCAAAGCGCTCCTGATATCCACATGCAGATTCTACACAAAGAATGTTTCAAAACTGCTCTATCAAAAGGAAGGTTCAACTCTGGTAGTTGAATGCAAACATCACAAAGAAGTTTCTCAGAATGCTTCTGTCTAGTTTTTAGAGCCAGATATTTCTTTTTCTGCCATAGGTCTCAAAGCGCTCCTGATATCCACTTGCAGACTCTACAGAAAGAGTGTTTCAAAACTGCTCTATCAAAAGGAAGGTTCAACTCTGTGAGCTGAATGGACAGATCACAAAGGAGTTTCTGAGAATGCTTATGTCTAGTTTTTATGTGAAGATATTCCCGTTTCCAAGGAAGGCTTCAAAGCACTCCAAATATCCACCTGCAGATTCTACAACAAGTGTCTTTCAACACTGCTCTATCAAAAGTGAGGTTCCACTCGGTGAGTTGAATGCACACATCAAAAAGAAGTTTCTAAGAATCCTTCAGTCTAGTTTTTATGTGAAGATACCCGTTTCCAACGAAGGCCTCAAAGCAGTCCCAGTATCCACTTGCAGATTCTACAAAAATAGTGTTTGAAAACTGGACTATATAAAGAGAAGTTCAACTTTCTGAGTTGAATGCAAACATCACAAAGGAGTTTTACAGAATACTTCTGTCTAGTTTTTATGTGAAGATATTTCCTTTTTCACCATAGCCCTTGACGTGCTCCAAAAGCCCACTGGTGCATTCTACAAAAAGAGTGTTGCAAAACTGCCCTATTAAAAGGAAGGATCAACTCTGTGAGTTGAATGCAAACATCACAAAGATGTTTCTGAGAATGCTTTTGTCCAGTTTTTATGTGAAGACATTCCCTTTCCACCAGAGGCCTCAAAGCGCTCCCAATATCCACTTGCTGATTCTACAAAAACACTGTTTCAAAACTGCTCCATAAAAAAGATGGTTCAACTCTGTGAGTTGAATACACACATCACAAAGAAGTTTCAGAGAATGCTTCTGTCTAGTTTTTATGTGAAGATATTCCCGTTTCCATTGAAGGCCTCAACGCTGTCCAAATATCCAATTGCAGATTCTACAAAAATAGTGTTTCAAAACTGCTCTATGAAAAGGTATGTTCAACACTGTGAGATGAATTCAAACGTCACAAAGAAGTTGCTGAGAATGCTTCAGTCTAGTTTCTATGTGAAGATATTTCCTTTTCGACCACAGCCCTCAAAGCACTCCAAATGTCTACTTGCAGATTCGATAAAAGAGTTTTTCAAAACTGCTCTATCAAAAGAAAGGTTCAGCGCTGTGAGTTGAATCTACATATCACAAAAAAGTTTCTGAGAATGCCTCTATCTACTTTTTATGTGAAGATATTCCGGTTTCCAACGAAGGCCTCAAAGCGCTCCAAATATCTACTGGCAGATTCTACAAAAAGAGTGTTTCAAAACTGCTCTATTAAAGGAAGGTTCAACACTGTGAGTTGAATTCACACATCACAAAGAAGTTTCTGAGAATGCTTCTACCTAGTTTTTATGTGAAGATAGTACTGTTTCCTATGAAGGCCTCAAAGTGGTCCAAATATCCACTTGCAGATTCTACAAAAAGAGGTTTTCCAAACTGCCCTATGAAGAGGTAGGTTCAACTCTGTGAGTTGAATGCAAACATCACAAAGTAGTTTCTGGGATTGCTTCGGTCTAGTTTTTAGGTGAAGATATTCCCATTTGCACAATAGCCCTCAAAGCGCTCCAAATATCCACTGGCGGATTCTACAAAAAGAGTGTTTCAGAACTGCTCTGTCAAAAGACATGTTCAACTGTGTTAGTTGAATGCCCACATCACAAAGAAGTTTCTGAGAATAATTCTGTCTAGTTTTTATTCGAAGATATTCCCGTTTCCACCTAAGGACTCAAAGCGCCCCTAATATCCACTTGCAGATCTTACAAAAACACGTTTCAAAACTGCTCTCTCAAAGGAACGGTTCATCTCTCTGGGTTCAATGCACACATCACAAAGAAGTTTCTGAGAATGCTTCTGGCTAGTTTTTATGTGAGGATATTCCCATTTCCAACAAAGGCTTCAAAGCGCTCCAAATATTCACCTGCAATTGTACAAAAGAGTGTTTCAAAACTCTTCTATCAAAAGGAAGGTTCAACTCTGTGAGTTGAATGCACACTTCACATAGATGTTTCTGAGAATGCTTCTTTCTAGTTTTTATGTGGAGATATTTCCTTCTCCACCATAGCCCTCAATGCGCTCCAAATGTCCACTGGCAGATTCCACGGAAACAGGGTTTCAAAACTGCTCTAACAAAAGAAAAGTTCAACTCCGTGATTTGGATGCACACATCACACAGCAGTTTCTGTGAATCCTTCTGTCTAGATTTTATATGAGGATGTATCCTTTTCTACCATGGGCATCAAAGCCTTCCACATATCCAATGGTAGATTGTACAAAAGAGTGTTTCAAAACTGCTTTATGAAGAGGAAGGTTCAACTTTGGGAGCAGAATGCACACATCACGAAGAAGTTTCCGAGAATGCTTCTGTCTAGTTTATATGTGAAGATATTCCCATTTCCAGCAAAGGTCTCAAAGCGGTCCAAATATCCACTTGCGGATTCCCCAAAAAGAGTGTTTCAAAACTGCTCTATGGAAAGGTATGTTCAACTCTGTGAGTTTAATGCAAACATCATAAAGAAGTTTCTGAGGATGCTTCTGTCTAGTTTAATGGGAATATATTTTCTTTACCACCATAGCCCTCAAATAGCTCCAAATATCCACTTTCAGATTTTACAGAGTGTTTCAAAACTGCTCTATCAAAAAAAAGTTTCAACTCTGTGAGTTAAATGCACATATCTCAAAGTAGTTTCTGAGAATGCTTTTGTCTGTTTTTCATAGGAAGATATTTCCTTTTTGACCATAGGCCTCAAATCGCTCCAGATATCCACATGCAGATTCTACACAAAGAGTGTTTCAAAACTGCTCTATCAAAAGGAAGGTTCAACTCTGGTAGTTGAATGCAAACATCACAAAGAAGTTTCTCAGAATGCTTCTGTCTACTATTTAAATGAAGATATTTCTTTTTCTACCATAGGCCTCAAAGCGCTCCAAATATCCACTTGCAGATTCTCCAAAAACAGTGTTTCAAAACTGCTCCATAAAAAGGAAGGTTCAACTCTGTGAGTTGAATAGACACATCACAAAGAAGTTTCAGAGAATGCTTATGTCTAGTTTTTATGTGAAGATATTCCCGTTTCCAAGGAAGGCTTCAAAGCACTCCAAATATCCACCTGCAGATTCTACAACAAGTGTCTTTCAACACTGCTCTATCAAAAGTGAGGTTCCACTCGGTGAGTTGAATGCACACATCACAAAGAAGTTTCTAAGAATCCTTCAGTCTAGTTTTTATGTGAAGATAATCCCGTTTCCAATGAAGGCCTCAAAGCAGTCCCAGTATCCACTTGCAGATTCTACAAAAATAGTGTTTGAAAACTGGACTATATAAAGAGAAGTTCAACTTTCTGAGTTGAATGCAAACATCACAAAGGAGTTTTACACAATACTTTCTCTCTAGTTTTTATGTGAAGATATTTCCTTTTTCACCATAGCCCTTGACGTGTTCCAAAAGCCCACTGGTGCATTCTACAAAAAGAGTGTTGCAAAACTGCCCTATTAAAAGGAAGGATCAACTCTGTGAGTTGAATGCAAACATCACAAAGATGTTTCTGAGAATGCTTCTGTCCAGTTTTTATGTGAAGACATTCCCTTTCCACCAGAGGCCTCAAAGCGCTCCCAATATCCAATTGCTGATTCTACAAAAAACACTGTTTCAAAACCGCTCCATAAAAAAGATGGTTCAACTCTGTGAGTTGAATACACACATCACAAAGAAGTTTCAGAGAATGCTTCTATCTAGTGTTTATGTGGAGATATTCCCGTTTCCAGTGGAGGTCTCAACGCAGTCCAAATATCCAATTGCAGATTCTACAAGAAGAGTGTTTCAAAACTGCTCTATGAAAAGGTATGTTCAACACTGTGAGATGAATGCAAACGACACAAAGAAGTTGCTGAGAATGCTTCAGTCTAGTTTCCATGTGAAGATATTTCCTTTTCGACCACAGCCCTCAAAGCACTCCAAATGTCTACTTGCAGATTCGATAAAAGAGTTTTTCAAAACTGCTCTATCAAAAGAAAGGTTCAACGCTGTGAGTTGAATCTACATATCACAGAAAAATTTCTGAGAATGCCTCTATCTACTTTTTATGTGAAGATATTCCAGTTTCCAACGAAGGCCTCAAAGCTCTCCAAATATCTACTTGCAGATTCTACAAAAAGAGTGTTTCAAAACTGCTCTATTAAAGGAAGGTTCAACTCTGTGAGTTGAATTCACACATCACAAAGAAGTTTCTGAGAATGCTTCTACCTAGTTTTTATGTGAAGATAGTACTGTTTCCTATGAAGGCCTCAAAGTGGTCCAAATATCCACTTGCAGATTCTACAAAAAGAGGTTTTCCAAACTGCTCTATGAAGAGGTAGGTTCAACTCTGTGAGTTGAATGCAAACATCACAAAGTAGTTTCTGGGATTGCTTCTGTCTAGTTTTCAGGGGCAGATATTTCCATTGGCACAATAGCCCTCCAAGCGCTCCAAATATCCACATGCAGATTCTACCAAAAGAGTGTTTCAAAACTGCTCTGTGAAAAGAAATGTTCAACTGTGTTAGTTGAATGCCCACATCACAAAGGAGATTCTGAGAATATTTCTGTCTAGTTTTTATTCGAAGATATTCCCGTTTCCACCTAAGGGCTCAAAACGCCCCAAATATCCACTTGCAGATCTTACAAAAACACGTTTCAAAACTGCTCTCTCAAAGGAACGGTTCATCTCTCTGGGTTCAATGCACACATCACAAAGAAGTTTCTGAGAGTGCTTCTGGCTAGTTTGTATGTGAAGATATTCCCATTTCCAACAAAGGCTTAAAGGCGCTCCAAATATTCACCTGAAATTGTACAAAAGAATGTTTCAAAACTGTTCTATCAAAAGGAAGGTTCAACTCCGTGAGTTGAATGCACACTTCACATAGATGTTTCTCAGAATGCTTCTTTCTAGTTTTTATGTGAAGATATTTCCTTCTCCACCATAGCCCTCAATGTGCTCCAAATGTCCACTGGCAGATTCCACGGAAACAGGGTTTCAAAACTGCTCTAACAAAAGAAAAGTTCAACTCCGTGATTTGGATGCACACATCACACAGCAGTTTCTGTGAATCCTTCTGTCTAGATTTTATATGAGGATGTTTCCTTTTCCACCATGGGCATCAAAGCCTTCCACATATCCAATGGTAGATTGTACAAAAGAGTGTTTCAAAACTGCTTTATGAAGAGGAAGGTTCAACTTTGGGAGCAGAATGCACACATCACGAAGAAGTTTCCGAGAATGCTTCTGTCTAGTTTATATGTGAAGATATTCCCATTTCCAGCAAAGGTCTCAAAGCGGTCCAAATATCCACTTGCGGATTCCTCAAAAAGAGTGTTTCAAAACTGCTCTATGGAAAGGTATGTTCAACTCTGTGAGTTTAATGCAAACATCATAAAGAAGTTTCTGAGGATGCTTCTGTCTAGATTTTATTTGAAGATATTTCCTTTTCTACCTTAAGCCGCAAAGCGTTCCAAATGTCCACTTGCAGATTCTAGAAAACAGAGTATTTCCAAACTGCTCAATCAAAAAAAAGATTCAAGTCTGTGAGATGAACACACACATCAAAAAGTATTTTCTCAGATTTCTTTTGTCTGTTTTTCATAGGAAGATATTTCCTTTTTGACCATAGGCCTCAAATCTGCTCCAGATATCCACATGCAGATTCTACACAAAGAGTGTTTCAAAACTGCTCTATCAAAAAGGAAGGTTCAACTCTGGTAGTTGAATGCAAACATCACAAAGAAGTTTCTCAGAATGCTTCTGTCTAGTTTTTATATACAGATATTTCTTTTTCTGCCTAGGCCTCAAAGCGCTCCTGATATCCACTTGCAGACACTACAGAAAGAGTGTTTCAAAACTGCTCTATCAAAAGGAAGGTTCAACTCTGTGAGCTGAATGGACAGATCACAAAGGAGTTTCTGAGAATGCTTATGTCTAGTTTTTATGTGAAGATATTCCCGTTTCCAAGGAAGGCTTCAAAGCACTCCAAATATCCACCTGCAGATTCTACAACAAGTGTCTTTCAACACTGCTCTATCAAAAGTGAGGTTCCACTCGGTGAGTTGAATGCACACATCACAAAGAAGTTTCTAAGAATCCTTCAGTCTAGTTTTTATGTGAAGATAATCCCGTTTCCAACGAAGGCCTCAAAGCAGTCCCAGTATCCACTTGCAGATTCTACAAAAATAGTGTTTGAAAACTGGACTATATAAAGAGAAGTTCAACTTTCTGAGTTGAATGCAAACATCACAAAGGAGTTTTACAGAATACTTCTGTCTAGTTTTTATGTGAAGATATTTCCTTTTTCACCATAGCCCTTGACGTGCTCCAAAAGCCCACTGGTGCATTCTACAAAAAGAGTGTTGCAAAACTGCCCTATTAAAAGGAAGGATCAACTCTGTGAGTTGAATGCAACATCACAAAGATGTTTCTGAGAATGCTTCTGTCTAGATTTCATGTGAAGACATTACCTTTTCTGCCGTAGGCTACAAAGCACTCCAAATGTCCACTTGCAGATTCTACAAAAAGAGTGTTTCCAAACTGCTCAATCAAAACAATTGTTCGACTCTGTGAGATGAACGCACACATCAGAAGGAAGTTTCTCAGAATTCTTCTGTCTAGTGTTTATGTGAAGACATTCCCGTTTCCAATGAAGGCCTCAATGCAGTCCAAATATCCACTTGCAGATTCTACAAAAATAGTGTTTCAAAACTACTCTATGAAAAGGTATGTTCAACACTGTGAGATGAATGCAAACGTCACAAAGAAGTTGCTGAGAATGCTTCAGTCTAGTTTCTATGTGAAGATATTTCCTTTTCGACCACAGCCCTCAAAGCACTCCAAATGTCTACTTGCAGATTCGATAAAAGAGTTTTTCAAAACTGCTCTATCAAAAGAAAGGTTCAACGCTGTGAGTTGAATCTACATATCACAAAAATGTTTCTTAGAATGCCTCTATCTACTTTTTATGTGAAGATATTCCGGTTTCCAACGAAGGCCTCAAAGCGCTCCAAATATCTACTGGCAGATTCTACAAAAAGAGTGTTTCAAAACTGCTGTATTAAAGGAAGGTTCAACTCTGTGAGTTGAATTCACACATCACAAAGAAGTTTCTGAGAATGCTTCTACCTAGTTTTTATGTGAAGATAGTACTGTTTCCTATGAAGGCCTCAAAGTGGTCCAAATATCCACTTGCAGATTCTACAAAAAGAGGTTTTCCAAACTGCTCTATGAAGAGGTAGGTTCAACTCTGTGAGTTGAATGCAAACATCACAAAGTAGTTTCTGGGATTGCTTCGGTCTAGTTTTTAGGTGAAGATATTTCCATTTGCACAATACCCCTCAAAGCGCTCCAAATATCCACTGGCGGATTCTACAAAAAGAGTGTTTCAGAACTGCTCTGTCAAAAGACATGTTCAACTGTGTTAGTTGAATGCCCACATCACAAAGAAGATTCTGAGAATAATACTGTCTAGTTTTTATTAGAAGATATTCCCGTTTCCACCAAAGGACTCAAAGCGCCCCAAATATCCACTTGCAGATCTTACAGAAACACGTTTCAAAACTGCTCTATCAAAGGAAAGGTTCATGTCTCTGGGTTCAATGCACACATCACAAAGAAGTTTCTGAGAATGCTTCTGGCTAGTTTTTATGTGAGGATATTCCCATTTCCAACAAAGGCTTCAAAGCGCTCCAAATATTCACCTGCAATTGTACAAAAGAGTGTTTCAAAACTCTTCTATCAAAAGGAAGGTTCAACTCTGTGAGTTGAATGCACACTTCACATAGATGTTTCTGAGAATGCTTCTTTCTAGTTTTTATGTGAAGATATTTCCTTCTCCACCATAGCCCTCAATGCGCTCCAAATGTCCACTGGCAGATTCCACGGAAACGGGGTTTCAAAACTGCTCTAACAAAAGAAAAGTTCAACTCCGTGATTTGGATGCACACATCACACAGCAGTTTCTGTGAATCCTTCTGTCTAGATTTTCATATGAGGATGTATCCTTTTCTACCATGGGCATCAAAGCCTTCCACATATCCAATGGTAGATTGTACAAAAGAGTGTTTCAAAACTGCTTTATGAAAAGGAAGGTTCAACTTTGGGAGCAGAATGCACACATCATGAAGAAGTTTCCGAGAATGCTTCTGTCTAGTTTATATGTGAAGATATTCCCATTTCCAGCAAAGGTCTCAAAGCGGTCCAAATATCCACTTGCAGATCCCACAAACAGAGGGTTTCAAAACTGCTTTACGGAAAGGTATGTTCAACTCTGTGAGTTTACTGCAAACATCCTAAAGATGTTTCTGAGAATGCTGCTGTCTAGTTTAATGTGAATATATTTTCTTTTCCGCCATAGCCCTCGAAGAGCTCCAAATATCCACTTTCAGATTCTACAGAGTGTTTCAAAACTGCTCTATCATAAAAAAGTTTCAACTCGGTGAGTCGAATGCACATATCACAAAGCACTTTGTGAGAATGCTTTTGTCTATTTTTCATAGGAAGATATTTCCTTTTTGACCATAGGACTCAAAAATCGCTCCAGATATCCACATGCAGATTCTACAAAAAGAGTGTTTCAAAACTGCTCTATCAAAAGGAAGGTTCAACTCTGGTAGTTGAATGCAAACATCACAAAGAAGTTTCTGAGAATGCTTCTGTCTAGTTTTTATATGCAGATATTTCTTTTTCTACCATAGGCCTCAAAGCGCTCCTGATATCCACTTGCAGACTCTACAGAAAGAGTGTTTCAAAACTGCTCTATCAAAAGGAAGGTTCAACTCTGTGAGCTGAATGGACAGATCACAAAGGAGTTTCTGAGAATGCTTATGTCTAGTTTTTATGTGAAGATATTCCCGTTTCCAAGGAAGGCTTCAAAGCACTCCAAATATCCACCTGCAGATTCTACAACAAGTGTCTTTCAACTCTGCTCTATCAAAAGTGAGGTTCCACTCGGTGAGTTGAAGGCACACATCACAAAGAAGTTTCTAAGAATCCTTCAGTCTAGTTTCTATGTGAAGGTAATCCCGTTTCCAACGAAGGCCTCAAAGCAGTCCCAGTATCCACTTGCAGATGCTACAAAAATAGTGTTTGAAAACTGGACTATATAAAGAGAAGTTCAACTTTCTGAGTTGAATGCAAACATCACAAAGGAGTTTTACAGAATACTTCGGTCTAGTTTTTATGTGAAGATATTTCCTTTTTCACCATAGCCCTTGACGTGCTCCAAAAGCCCACTGGTGCATTCTACAAAAAGAGTGTTGCAAAACTGCCCTATTAAAAGGAAGGATCAACTCTGTGAGTTGAATGCAAACATCACAAAGATGTTTCTGAGAATGCTTCTGTCCAGTTTTTATGTGAAGACATTCCCTTTCCACCAGAGGCCTCAAAGCGCTCCAAATATCCAATTGCTGATTCTACAAAAACACTGTTTCAAAACCGCTCCATAAAAAAGATGGTTCAACTCTGTGAGTTGAATACACACATCACAAAGAAGTTTCAGAGAATGCTTCTGTCTAGTGTTTATGTGAAGAAATTCCCGTTTCCAGTGAAGGCCTCAACGCAGTCCAAATATCCAAATGCAGATTTTACAAAAAGAGTGTTTCAATACTGCTCTATGAAAAAGTATGTTCAACATTGTGAGATGAGTGCAAACGTCACAAAGAAGTTGCTGAGAATGCTTCAGTCTAGTTTCTATGTGAAGATATTTCCTTTTCGACCACAGCCCTCAAAGCACTCCAAATGTCTACTTGCAGATTCGATAAAAGAGTTTTTCAAAACTGCTCTATCAAAAGAAAGGTTCAACGCTGTGAGTTGAATCTACATATCACAAAAAAGTTTCTGAGAATGCCTCTATCTACTTTCTATGTGAAGATATTCCGGTTTCCAACGAAGGCCTCTAAGCGCTCCAAATATCTACTTGCAGATTCTACAAAAAGAGTGTTTCAAAACTGCTCTATTAAAGGAAGGTTCAACTCTGTGAGTTGAATTCACACATCACAAAGAAGTTTCTGAGAATGCTTCTACCTAGTTTTTATGTGAAGATAGTACTGTTTCCTATGAAGGCCTCAAAGTGGTCCAAATATCCACTTGCAGATTCTACAAAAAGAGGTTTTCCAAACTGCTCTATGAAGAGGTAGGTTCAACTCTGTGAGTTGAATGCAAACATCACAAAGTAGTTTCTGGGATTGCTTCGGTCTAGTTTTTAGGTGAAGATATTTCCATTTGCACAATACCCCTCAAAGCGCTCCAAATATCCACTGGCGGATTCTACAAAAAGAGTGTTTCAGAACTGCTCTGTCAAAAGACATGTTCAACTGTGTTAGTTGAATGCCCAAATCACAAAGAAGATTCTGAGAATAATTCTGTCTAGTTTTTATTCGAAGATATTCCCGTTTCCACCTAAGGACTCAAAGCGCCCCAAATATCCACTTGCAGATCTTACAAAAACACGTTTCAAAACTGCTCTCTCAAAGGAACGGTTCATCTCTCTGGGTTCAATGCACACATCACAAAGAAGTTTCTGAGAATGCTTCTGGCTAGTTTTTATGTGAGGATATTCCCATTTCCAACAAAGGCTTCACAGCGCTCCAAATATTCACCTGCAATTGTACAAAAGAGTGTTTCAAAACTCTTCTATCAAAAGGAAGGTTCAACTCTGTGAGTTGAATGCACACTTCACATAGATGTTTCTGAGAATGCTTCTTTCTAGTTTTTATGTGAAGATATTTCCTTCTCCACCATAGCCCTCAATGCGCTCCAAATGTCCACTGGCAGATTCCACGGAAACAGGGTTTCAAAACTGCTCTAACAAAAGAAAAGTTCAACTCCGTGATTTGGATGCACACATCACACAGCAGTTTCTGTGAATCCTTCTGTCTAGATTTTATATGAGGATGTTTCCTTTTCTACCATGGGCATCAAAGCCTTCCACATATCCAATGGTAGATTGTACAAAAGAGTGTTTCAAAACTGCTTTATGAAAAGGAAGGTTCAACTTTGGGAGCAGAATGCAGACATCATGAAGAAGTTTCCGAGAATGCTTCTGTCTAGTTTATATGTGAAGATATTCCCGTTTCCAGCAAAGGTCTCAAAGCGGTCCAAATATCCACCTGCGGATTCCCCAAAAAGAGTGTTTCAAAACTGCTCTATGGAAAGGTATGTTCAACTCTGTGAGTTTAATGCAAACATCATAAAGAAGTTTCTGAGGATGCTTCAGTCTAGTTTTTATGAGAAGATATTTCCTTTTCCACCATAGGCCTCAAGGCCTTCGAAATGTCCACTTCCAGGTACTACAAAAAGAGTCTCAAAACTTCTCAATCAAAAGAAAGGTTTAACTCTGTGGGACGAATGCACACATCACAAAGAAGTTCCTCAGATTGATTTTGTCTGTTTTTCATAGGAAGATATTTCCTTTTTGACCATAGGCCTCAAATCGCTCCAGATATCCACATGCAGATTCTACAAAAAGAGTGTTTCAAAACTGCTCTATCAAAAAGGAAGGTTCAACTCTGGTAGTTGAATGCAAACATCACAAAGAAGTTTCTCAGAATGCTTCTGTCTAGTTTTTAGAGGCACATATTTCCTTTTCTACCATAGGCCTCAAAGCGCTCCAAATATCCACTTGCAGATTCTACAAAAACAGTGGTTCAAAACGGCTCCATATGAACGAAGGTTCAACTCTGTGAGTTGAATGGACAGATCACAAAGAAGTTTCTGAGAATGCTTCTGTCTAGTGTTTATGTGAAGAAATTCCCGTTTCCAGTGAAGGCCTCAACGCAGTCCAAATATCCAAATGCAGATTTTACAAAAAGAGTGTTTCAATACTGCTCTATGAAAAAGTATGTTCAACATTGTGAGATGAATGCAAACGTCACAAAGAAGTTGCTGAGAATGCTTCAGTCTAGTTTTTATGTGAAGATAATCCCGTTTCCAACGAAGGCCTCAAAGCAGTCCCAGTATCCACTTGCAGATTCTACAAAAATAGTGTTTGAAAACTGGACTATATAAAGAGAAGTTCAACTTTCTGAGTTGAATGCAAACTTCACAAAGGAGTTTTACAGAATACTTCTGTCTAGTTTTTATGTGAAGATATTTCCTTTTTCACCATAGCCCTTGACGTGCTCCAAAAGCCCACTGGTGCATTCTACAAAAAGAGTGTTGCAAAACTGCCCTATTAAAAGGAAGGATCAACTCTGTGAGTTGAATGCAAACATCACAAAGATGTTTCTGAGAATGCTTCTGTCCAGTTTTTATGTGAAGACATTCCCTTTCCACCAGAGGCCTCAAAGCGCTCCAAATATCCAATTGCTGATTCTACAAAAACACTGTTTCAAAACCGCTCCATAAAAAAGATGGTTCAACTCTGTGAGATGAATACACACATCACAAAGAAGTTTCAGAGAATGCTTCTGTCTAGTTTTTATGTGAAGATATTCCCGTTTCCAGTGAGGGGCTCAACGCAGTCCAAATATCCAATTGCAGATTCTACAAAAATAGTGTTTCAAAACTGTTCTATGAAAAGGTATGTTCAACACTGTGAGATGAATTCAAACGTCACAAAGAAGTTGCTGAGAATGCTTCAGTCTAGTTTCTATGTGAAGATATTTCCTTTTCGACCACAGCCCTCAAAGCACTCCAAATGTCTACTTGCAGATTCGATAAAATAGTTTTTCAAAACTGCTCTATCAAAAGAAAGGTTCAGCGCTGTGAGTTGAATCTACATATCACAAAAAAGTTTCTGAGAATGCCTCTATCTACTTTTTATGTGAAGATATTCCGGTTTCCAACGAAGGCCTCAAAGCGCTCCAAATATCTACTGGCAGATTCTACAAAAAGAGTGTTTCAAAACTGCTCTATTAAAGGAAGGTTCAACACTGTGAGTTGAATTCACCCATCACAAAGAAGTTTCTGAGAATGCTTCTATCGAGTTTTTATGAGAATATATTACTGTTTCCTATGAAGGCCTCAAAGTGGTCCAAATATCCACTTGCAGATAATACAAAAAGAAGTTTTCAAACCTGCTCTATGAAGAGGTATGTTCAACTATGTGAGTTGAATGCAAACATCACAAAGTAGTTTCTGAGAATGCTTCGGTCTAGTTTTTAGGTGAAGATATTTCCGTTTGCACAATAGCCCTCAAAGCGCTCCAAATATCCACTGGCGGATTCTACAAAAAGAGTGTTTCAGAACTGCTCTGTCAAAAGAAATGTTCAACTGTGTTAGTTGAATGCCCACATCACAAAGAAGATTGCTGAGAATAATTCTGTCTAGTTTTTATTCGAAGATATTCCCGTTTCCACCTAAGGGCTCAAAGCGCCCCAAATATCCACTTGCAGATCTTACAAAAACACGTTTCAAAACTGCTCTCTCAAAGGAACGGTTCATCTCTCTGGGTTCAATGCACACATCACAAAGAAGTTTCTGAGAGTACTTCTGGCTAGTTTGTGTGTGAAGATATTCCCATTTCCAACAAAGGCTTCAAAGCGCTCCAAAGATTCACCTGCAATTGTTCAAAAGAGTGTTTCAAAACTGTTCTATCAAAAGGAAGGTTCAACTCTGTGAGTTGAATGCACGCTTCACATAAATGTTTCTGAGAATGCTTCTTTCTAGTTTTTCTGTGAAGATATTTCCTTCTCCACCATAGCCCTCAATGCGCTCCAAATGTCCACTGGCAGATTCCACAGAAACAGTGTTTCAAAACTGCTCTAACAAAAGAAAGGTCCAACTCCGTGATTTGAATGCACACATCACAAAGCAGTTTCTGTGAATCCTTCTGTCTAGTTTTTATATGAGGATATTTCCTTTTCTACCATGGGCATCAAAGCGTTCCAATCATCCAATTGTAGAATGCACAAATAGAGTGTTTCAAAACTGCTTCATGAAAAGGAAGATTCAAATTTGGGAGTAGAATGCACACATCACGAAGAAGTTTCTGAGAATGCTTCTGTCTAGTTTATATGTGAAGATATTCCCTTTTCCAGCAAAGGTCTCAAAGCAGTCCAAATATCCACTTGCGGATTCCCCAAAAAGAGTGTTTCAAAACTGCTCTATGGAAAGGTATGTTCAACTCTGTGAGTTTAATGCAAACATCATAAAGAAGTTTCTGAGGATGCTTCTGTCTAGTTTAATGGGAATATATTTTCTTTTCCACCATAGCCCTCAAATAGCTCCAAATATCCACTTTCAGATTCTACAGAGTGTTTCAAAACTGCTCTATCAAAAAAAAGTTTCAACTCTGTGAGTTGAATGCACATATCTCTAAGTAGTTTCTGAGAATTCTTTTGTCTGTTTTTCATAGGAAGATATTTCCTTTTTGACCATAGGCCTCAAATCGCTCCAGATATCCACATGCAGATTCTACAAAAAGAGTGTTTCAAAACTGCTCTATCAAAAGGAAGGTTCAACTCTGGTAGTTGAATGCAAACATCACAAAGAAGTTTCTCAGAATGCTTCTGTCTAGTTTTTATATGCAGATATTTCTTTTTCTACCATAGGCCTCAAAGCGCTCCTGATATCCACTTGCAGACTCTACAGAAAGAGTGTTTCAAAACTGCTCTATCAAAAGGAAGGTTCAACTCTGTGAGCTGAATGGACAGATCACAAAGGGGTTTCTGAGAATGCTTATGTCTAGTTTTTATGTGAAGATATTCCCGTTTCCAAGGAAGGCTTCAAAACACTCCAAATATCCACCTGCAGATTCTACAACAAGTGTCTTTCAACTCTGCTCTATCAAAAGTGAGGTTCCGCTCGGTGAGTTGAAGGCACACATCACAAAGAAGTTTCTAAGAATCCTTCAGTCTAGTTTCTATGTGAAGATAATCCCGTTTCCAACGAAGGCCTCAAAGCAGTCCCAGTATCCACTTGCAGATTCTACAAAAATAGTGTTTGAAAACTGGACTATATAAAGAGAAGTTCAACTTTCTGAGTTGAATGCAAACATCACAAAGGAGTTTTACAGAATACTTCTGTCTAGTTTTTATGTGAAGATATTTCCTTTTTCACCAAAGCCCTTGACGTGCTCCAAAAGCCCACTGGTGCATTCTACAAAAAGAGTGTTGCAAAACTGCCCTATTAAAAGGAAGGATCAACTCTGTGAGTTGAATGCAAACATCACAAAGATGTTTCTGAGAATGCTTCTGTCCAGTTTTTATGAGAGGACATTCTCTTTCCACCAGAGGCCTCAAAGCGCTCCAAATATCCACTTGCTGATTCTACAAAAACACTGTTTCAAAACCGCTCCATAAAAAAGATGGTTCAACTCTGTGAGTTGAATACACACATCACAAAGAAGTTTCAGAGAATGCTTCTGTCTAGAGTATATGTGAAGATATTCCCGTTTCCAATGAAGGCCTCAAAGCAGTCCAAATATCCACTTGCAGATACTACAAAAATAGTGTTTCAAAACTGCTCTATGAAAAGGTATGTTCAACACTGTGAGATGAATGCAAACGTCACAAAGAAGTTGCTGAGAATGCTTCTGTCTAGTTTCTATGTGAAGATATTTCCTTTTCGACCACAGCCCTCAAAGCACTCCAAATGTCTGCTTGCAGGTTCGATAAAAGAGTTTTTCAAAACTGCTCTATCAAAAGAAAGGTTCAGCGCTGTGAGTTGAATCTACATATCACAAAAAAGTTTCTGAGAATGCCTCTATCTACTTTTTATGTGAAGATATTCCGGTTTCCAACGAAGGCCTCAAAGCGCTCCAAATATCTACTGGCAGATTCTACAAAAAGAGTGTTTCAAAACTGCTCTATTAAAGGAAGGTTCAACTCTGTGAGTTGAATTCACACATCACAAAGAACTTTCTGAGAATTCTTCTACCTAGTTTTTATGTGAAGATAGTACTGTTTCCTATGAAGGCCTCAATGTGGTCCAAATATCCACTTGCAGATTCTACAAAAAGAGGTTTTCCAAACTGCTCTATGAAGAGGTAGGTTCAACTCTGTGAGTTGAATGCAAACATCACAAAGTAGTTTCTGGGATTGCTTCGGTCTAGTTTTTAGGTGAAGATATTTCCATTTGCACAATAGCCCTCAAAGCGCTCCAAATATCCACTGGCGGATTCTACAAAAAGAGTGTTTCAGAACTGCTCTGTCAAAAGAAATGTTCAACTGTGTTAGTTGAATGCCCACATCACAAAGAAGATTCTGAGAATAATTCTGTCTAGTTTTTATTCGAAGATATTCCCGTTTCCACCTAAGGACTCAAAGCGCCCCAAATATCCACTTGCAGATCTTACAAAAACACGTTTCAAAACTGCTCTCTCAAGGGAACGGTTCATCTCTCTGGGTTCAATGCACACATCACAAAGAAGTTTCTGAGAATGTTTCTGGCTAGTTTTTATGTGAGGATATTCCCATTTCCAACAAATGCTTCAAAGCGCTCCAAATATTCACCTGCAATTGTACAAAAGAGTGTTTCAAAACTCTTCTATCAAAAGAACGGTTCAACTCTGTGAGTTGAATGCACACTTCACATAGGTGTTTCTGAGAATGCTTCTTTCTAGTTTTTATGTGAAGATATTTCCTTCTCCACCATAGCCCTCAATGCGCTCCAAATGTCCACTGGCAGATTCCACGGAAACAGGGTTTCAAAACTGCTCTAACAAAAGAAAAGTTCAACTCCGTGATTTGGATGCACACATCACACAGCAGTTTCTGTGAATCCTTCTGTCTAGATTTTATATGAGGATGTATCCTTTTCTACCATGGGCATCAAAGCCTTCCACATATCCAATGGTAGATTGTACAAAAGAGTGTTTCAAAACTGCTTTATGAAGAGGAAGGTTCAACTTTGGGAGCAGAATGCACACATCAGGAAGAAGTTTCCGAAAATGCTTCTGTCTAGTTTATATGTGAAGATATTCCCATTTCCAGCAAAGGTCTCAAAGCGGTCCAAATATCCACTTGCGGATTCCCCAAAAACAGTGTTTCAAAACTGCTCTATGGAAAGGTATGTTCAACTCTGTGAGTTTAATGCAAACATCATAAAGAAGTTTCTGAGGATGCTTCTGTCTAGTTTAATGTGAATATATTTTCTTTTCCACCATAGCCCTCAAATAGCTCCAAATATCCACTTTCAGTTTCTACAGAGCGTTTCAAAACGGCTATATCAAAAAAAAGGTTCTACTCTGTGAGTTGAATGCACATAACACAAAGTAGTTTCTGAGAATGTTTTTGTCTGTTTTTCATAGGAAGATATTTCCTTTTTGACCATAGGCCTCAAATCGCTCCAGATATCCACATGCAGATTCTACAAAAAGAGTGTTTCGAAACTGCTCTATCAAAAGGAAGGTTCAACTCTGGTAGTTGAATGCAAACATCACAAAGAAGTTTCTCAGAATGCTTCTGTCTAGTTTTTATATGCAGATATTTCTTTTTCTACCTTAGGCCTCAAAGCGCTCCAAATATCCACTTGCAGATTCTACAAAAACAGTGTTTCAAAACGGCTCCATAAAACGGAAGGTTCAACTCTGTGAGTTTAATGGACAGATCACAAGGAAGTTTCTGAGAATACATCTGTCTAGTTTTTATGTGAAGATATTCCCGTTTCCAGTGAGGGGCTCAACGCAGTCCAAATATCCAATTGCAGATTCTACAAAAATAGTGTTTCAAAACTGCTCTATGAAAAGGTATGTTCATCACTGTGAGATGAATTCAAACGTCACAAAGAAGTTGCTGAGAATGCTTCAGTCTAGTTTTTATGTGAAGATAATCCTGTTTCCAACGATAGCCTCAAAGCAGTCCCAGTATCCACTTGCAGATTCTACAAAAATAGTGTTTGAAAACTGGACTATATAAAGAGAAGTTCAACTTTCTGAGTTGAATGCAAACATCACAAAGGAGTTTTACACAATACTTCTGTCTAGTTTTTATGTGAAGATATTTCCTTTTTCACCATAGCCCTTGACGTGCCCCAAAAGCCCACTGGTGCATTCTACAAAAAGAGTGTTGCAAAACTGCCCTATTAAAAGGAAGGATCAACTCTGTGAGTTGAATGCAAACATCACAAAGATGTTTCTGAGAATGCTTCTGTCCAGTTTTTATGTGAAGACATTCCCTTTCCACCAGAGGCCTCAAAGCACTCCAAATATCCAATTGCTGATTCTACAAAAACTGTTTCAAAACCGCTCCATAAAAAAGATGGTTCAACTCTGTGAGTTGAATACACACATCACAAAGAAGTTTCAGAGAATGCTTCTGTCTAGTGTTTATGTGAAGATATTCCCGTTTCCAATGAAGGCCTCAAAGCAGTCCAAATATCCACTTGCAGATACTACAAAAATAGTGTTTCAAAACTGCTCTATGAAAAGGTATGTTCAACACTGTGAGATGAATGCAAACATCACAAAGATGTTGCTGAGAATGCTTCAGTCTAGTTTCTATGTGAAGATATTTCCTTTTCGACCACAGCCCTCAAAGCACTCCAAATGTCTACTTGCAGATTCGATAAAAGAGTTTTTCAAAACTGCTCTATCAAAAGAAAGGTTCAGCGCTGTGAGTTGAATCTACATATCACAAAAAACTTTCTGAGAATGCCTCTATCTACTTTTTATGTGAAGATATTCCGGTTTCCAACGAAGGCCTCAAAGCGCTCCAAATATCTACTTGCAGATTCTACAAAAAGAGTGTTTCAAAACTGCTCTATTAAAGGAAGGTTCAACTCTGTGAGTTGAATTCACACATCACAAAGAATTTTCTGAGAATGCTTCTACCTAGTTTTTATGTGAAGATAGTACTGTTTCCTATGAAGGCCTCAAAGTGGTCCGAATATCCACTTGCAGATTCTACAAAAAGAGGTTTTCCAAACTGCTCTATGAAGAGGTAGGTTCAACTCTGTGAGTTGAATGCAAACATCACAAAGTAGTTTCTGGGATTGCTTCGGTCTAGTTTTTAGGTGAAGATATTTCCATTTGCACAATAGCCCTCAAAGCGCTCCAAATATCCACTGGCGGATTCTACAAAAAGAGTGTTTCAGAACTGCTCTGTCAAAAGAAATGTTCAACTGTGTTAGTTGAATGCCCACATCACAAAGAAGGTTCTGAGATAATTCTGTCTAGTTTTTATTCGAAGATATTCCCGTTTACACCTAACGGCTCAAAGCGCCCCAAATATCCACTTGCAGATCTTACAAGAACACGTTTCAAAACTGCTCTCTCAAAGGAACGGTTCATCTCTCTGGGTTCAATGCACACATCACAAAGAAGTTTCTGAGAATGCTTCTGGCTAGTTTTTATGTGAGGATATTCCCATTTCCAACAAAGGCTTCAAAGCGCTCCAAATATTCACCTGCAATTGTACAAAAGAGTGTTTCAAAACTCTTATATCAAAAGGAAGGTTCAACTCTGTGAGTTGAATGCACACTTCACATAGATGTTTCTGAGAATGCTTCTTTCTAGTTTTTATGTGAAGATATTTCCTTCTCCACCATAGCCCTCAATGTGCTCCAAATGTCCACTGGCAGATTCCACGGAAACAGGGTTTCAAAACTGCTCTAACAAAAGAAAAGTTCAACTCCGTGATTTCGATGCACACATCACACAGCAGTTTCTGTGAATCCTTCTGTCTAGATTTTATATGAGGATGTTTCCTTTTCTACCATGGGCATCAAAGCCTTCCCCATATCCAATGGTAGATTGTACAAAAGAGTGTTTCAAAACTGCTTTATGAAGAGGAAGGTTCAACTTTGGGAGCAGAATGCACACATCACGAAGAAGTTTCCGAGAATGCTTCTGTCTAATTTGTATGTGAAGATATTCCCATTTCCAGCGAAGGTCTCAAAGCGGTCCAAATATCCACTTGCGGATTCCACAAAAAGAGTGTTTCAAAACTGCTCTATGGAAAGGTATGTTCAACTCTGTGAGTTTAATGCAAACATCATAAAGAAGTTTCTGAGAATGCTTCTGTCTAGTTTAATGTGAATATATTTTCTTTTCCACCATAGCCCTCAAATAGCTCCAAATATCCACTTTCAGTTTCTACAGAGTGTTTCAAAACGGCTCTATCAAAAAAAAGGTTCAACTCTGTGAGTTGAATGCACATAACACAAAGTAGTTTCTGAGAATGCTTCTGTCTAGTTTTTAGAGCCAGATATTTCTTTTTCTGCCATAGGCCTCAAAGCGCTCCTGATATCCACATGCAGATCCTACACAAAGAGTGTTTCAAAACTGCTCTATCAAAAGGAAGGTTCAACTCTGGTAGTTGAATGCAAACATCACAAAGAAGTTTCTCAGAATGCTTCTGTCTAGTTTTTAGAGCCAGATATTTCTTTTTCTGCCATAGGCGACAAAGCGCTCCTGATATCCACTTGCAGACTCTACAGAAAGAGTGTTTCAAAACTGCTCTATCAAAAGGAAGGTTCAACTCTGTGAGCTGAATGGACAGATCACAAAGGAGTTTCTGAGAATGCTTATGTCTAGTTTTTATGTGAAGATATTCCCGTTTCCAAGGAAGGCTTCAAAACACTCCAAATATCCACCTGCAGATTCTACAACAAGTGTCTTTCAACTCTGCTCTATCAAAAGTGAGGTTCCACTCGGTGAGTTGAAGGCACACATCACAAAGAAGTTTCTAAGAATCCTTCAGTCTAGTTTTTATGTGAAGATAATCCCGTTTCCAATGAAGGCCTCAAAGCAGTCCCAGTATCCACTTGCAGATTCTACAAAAATAGTGTTTGAAAACTGGACTATATAAAGAGAAGTTCAACTTTCTGAGTTGAATGCAAACATCACAAAGGAGTTTTACAGAATACTTCTGTCTAATTTTTATGTGAAGATATTTCCTTTTTCACCATAGCCCTTGACGTGCTCCAAAAGCCCACTGGTGCATTCTACAAAAAGAGTGTTGCAAAACTGCCCTATTGAAAGGAAGGATCAACTCTGTGAGTTGAATGCAAACATCACAAAGATGTTTCTGAGAATACTTCTGTCCAGTTTTTATGTGAAGACATTCCCTTTCCACCAGAGGCCTCAAAGCGCTCCCAATATCCAATTGCTGATTCTACAAAAACACTGTTTCAAAACCGCTCCATAAAAAAGATGGTTCAACTCTGTGAGTTGAATACACACATCACAAAGAAGTTTCAGAGAATGCTTCTGTCTAGTGTTTATGTGAAGATATTCCCATTTCCAATGAAGGCCTCAAAGCAGTCCAAATATCCACTTGCAGATACTACAAAAATAGTGTCTCAAAACTGCTCTATGAAAAGGTATGTTCAACACTGTGAGATGAATGCAAACGTCACAAAGAAGTTGCTGAGAATGCTTCAGTCTGGTTTCTTTGTGAAGACATTTCCTTTTGGACCACAGCCCTCACAGCACTCCAAATGTCTACTTGCAGATTCGAGAAAAGAGTTTTTCAAAACTGCTCTATCAAAAGAAAGGTTCAACGCTGTCAGTTGAATCTACATATCACAAAAAAGTTTCTGAGAATGCCTCTATCTACTTTTTATGTGAAGATATTCCGGTTTCCAACGAAGGCCTCAAAGCGCTCCAAATATCTACTGGCAGATTCTACAAAAAGAGTGTTTCAAAACTGCTCTATTAAAGGAAGGTTCAACTCTGTGAGTTGAATTCACACATCACAAAGAAGTTTCTGAGAATGCTTCTACCTAGTTTTTATGTGAAGATAGTACTGTTTCCTATGAAGGCCTCAAAGTGGTCCAAATATCCACTTGCAGATTCTATAAAAAGAGGTTTTCCAAACTGCTCTATGAAGAGGTAGGTTCAACTCTGTGAGTTGAATGCAAACATCACAAAGTAGTTTCTGGGATTGCTTCGGTCTAGTTTTTAGGTGAAGATATTTCCATTTGCACAATAGCCCTCAAAGCGCTCCAAATATCCACTGGCGGATTCTACAAAAAGAGTGTTTCAGAACTGCTCTGTCAAAAGACATGTTCAACTGTGTTAGTTGAATGCCCACATCACAAAGAAGATTCTGAGAATAATTCTGTCTAGTTTTTATTCGAAGATATTCCCGTTTACACCTAAGGGCTCAAAGCGCCCCAAATATCCACTTGCAGATCTTACAAGAACACGTTTCAAAACTGCTCTCTCAAAGGAACGGTTCATCTCTCTGGGTTCAATGCACACATCACAAAGAAGTTTCTGAGAATGCTTCTGGCTAGTTTTTATGTGAGGATATTCCCATTTCCAACAAAGGCTTCTAAGCGCTCCAAATATTCACCTGCAATTGTACAAAAGAGTGTTTCAAAACTCTTCTATCAAAAGGAAGGTTCAACTCTGTGAGTTGAATGCACACTTCACATAGATGTTTCTGAGAATGCTTCTTTCTAGTTTTTATGTGAAGATATTTCCTTCTCCACCATAGCCCTCAATGCGCTCCAAATGTCCACTGGCAGATTCCACGGAAACAGGGTTTCAAAACTGCTCTAACAAAAGAAACGTTCAACTCCGTGATTTGGATGCACACATCACACAGCAGTTTCTGTGAATCCTTCTGTCTAGATTTTATATGAGGATGTTTCCTTTTCTACCATGGGCATCAAAGCCTTCCACATATCCAATGGTAGATTGTACAAAAGAGTGTTTCAAAACTGCTTTATGAAGAGGAAGGTTCAACTTTGGGAGCAGAATGCACACATCACAAAGAAGTTTCCGAGAATGCTTCTGTCTAGTTTATATGTGAAGATATTCCCATTTCCAGCAAAGGTCTCAAAGCGGTCCAAATATCCACTTGCGGATTCCCCAAAAAGAGTGTTTCAAAACTGCTCTATGGAAAGGTATGTTCAACTCTGTGAGTTTAATGCAAACATCACAAAGAAGTTTCTGAGGATGCTTCTGTCTAGTTTAATGGGAATATATTTTCTTTTCCACCATAGCCCTCAAATAGCTCCAAATATCCACTTTCAGATTTTACAGAGTGTTTCAAAACTGCTCTATCAAAAAAAAGTTTCAACTCTGTGGGTTAAATGCACATATCTCAAAGTAGTTTCTGAGAATGCTTTTGTCTATTTTTCATAGGAAGATATTTCCTTTTTGACCATAGGCCTCAAAAATCGCTCCAGATATCCACATGCAGATTCTACAAAAAGAGTGTTTCAAAACTGCTCTATCAAAAGGAAGGTTCAACTCTGGAAGTTGAAGGCAAACATCACAAACAAGTTTCTGAGAATGCTTCTGTCTAGTTTTTAGAGGCAGATATTTCCTTTTCTACCATAGGCCTCAAAGCGCTCCAAATATCCACTTGCAGATTCTACAAAAACAGTGGTTCAAAACGGCTCCATATGAACGAAGGTTCAACTCTGTGAGTTGAATGGACAGATCACAAAGAAGTTTCTGAGAATGCTTATGTCTAGTTTTTATGTGAAGATATTCCCGTTTCCAAGGAAGGCTTCAAAGCACTCCAAATATCCACCTGCAGATTCTACAACAAGTGTCTTTCAACACTGCTCTATCAAAAGTGAGGTTCCACTCGGTGAGTTGAATGCACACATCACAAAGAAGTTTCTAAGAATCCTTCAGTCTAGTTTTTATGTGAAGATAATCCCGTTTCCAATGAAGGCCTCAAAGCAGTCCCAGTATCCACTTGCAGATTCTACAAAAATAGTGTTTGAAAACTGGACTATATAAAGAGAAGTTCAACTTTCTGAGTTGAATGCAAACATCACAAAGGAGTTTTACACAATACTTCTGTCTAGTTTTTATGTGAAGATATTTCCTTTTTCACCATAGCCCTTGACGTGCTCCAAAAGCCCACTGGTGCATTCTACAAAAAGAGTGTTGCAAAACTGCCCTATTAAAAGGAAGGATCAACTCTGTGAGTTGAATGCAAACATCACAAAGATGTTGCTGAGAATGCTTCTGTCCAGTTTTTATGTGAAGACATTCCCTTTCCACCAGAGGCCTCAAAGCGCTCCCAATATCCACTTGCTGATTCTACAAAAACACTGTTTCAAAACCGCTCCATAAAAAAGATGGTTCATCTCTGTGAGTTGAATACACACATCACAAAGAAGTTTCAGAGAATGCTTCTGTCTAGTGTTTATGTGAAGATATTCCCGTTTCCAATGAAGGCCTCAAAGCAGTCCAAATATCCACTTGCAGATACTACAAAAATAGTGTTTCAAAACTGCTCTATGAAAAGGTATGTTCAACACTGTGAGATGAATGCAAACGTCACCAAGAAGTTGCTGAGAATGCTTCAGTCTAGTTTCTATGGGAAGATATTTCCTTTTCGACCACAGCCCTCAAAGCACTCCAAATGTCTACTTACAGATTCGATAAAAGAGTTTTTCAAAACAGCTCAATCAAAAGAAAGGTTCAACACTGTGAGTTGAATCTACATATCACAAAAAAGTTTCTGAGAATGCCTCTATCTACTTTTTATGTGAAGACATTCCGGTTTCCAACGAAGGCCTCAAAGCGCTCCAAATATCTATTGCAGATTCCACAAAAAGAGTGTTTCAAAACTGCTCTATTTAACGAAGGTTCAACTCTGTGAGTTGAATTCACACATCACTAAGAAGTTTCCGAGAATGCTTCTATCTAGTTTTTATGTGAAGATATTACTGTTTCCTATGAAGGCCTCAAAGTGGTCCGAATATCCACTTGCAGATTCTACAAGAAGAGGTTTTCCAAACTGCTCTATGAAGAGGTAGGTTCAACTCTGTGAGTTGAATGCAAACATCACAAAGCAGTTTCTGAGAATGCTTCGGTCTAGTTTTTAGTTGAAGATATTTCCATTTGCACAATAGCCCTCAAAGCGCTCCAAATATCCACTGGCGGATTCTACAAAAAGAGTGTTTCAGAACTGCTCTGTCAAAAGAAATGTTCAACTGTGTTAGTTGAATGCCCACATCACAAAGAAGATTCTGAGAATAATTCTGTCTAGTTTTTATTCGAAGATATTCCCGTTTCCACCTAAGGACTCAAAGCGCCCCAAATATCCACTTGCAGATCTTACAAAAACACGTTTCAAAACTGCTCTCTCAAAGGAACGGTTCATCTCTCTGGGTTCAATGCACACATCACAAAGAAGTTTCTGAGAATGTTTCTGGCTAGTTTTTAATGTGAGGATATTCCCATTTCCAACAAAGGCTTCAAAGCGCTCCAAATATTCACCTGCAATTGTACAAAAGAGTGTTTCAAAACTCTTCTATCAAAAGGAAGGTTCAACTCTGTGAGTTGAATGCATACTTCACATAGATGTTTCTGAGAATGCTTCCTTTCTAGTTTTTATGTGAAGATATTTCCTTCTCCACCATAGCCCTCAATGCGCTCCAAATGTCCACTGGCAGATTCCACGGAAACGGGGTTTCAAAACTGCTCTAACAAAAGAAAAGTTCAACTCCGTGATTTGGATGCACACATCACACAGCAGTTTCTGTGAATCCTTCTGTCTAGTTTTTATATGAGGAGATTTCCTTTTCTACCACGGGCATCAAAGCGTTCCAAATATCCAATTGTAGATTGTACAAAAGGAGTGTTTCAAAACTGCTTTATGAAAAGGAAGGTTCAACTCTGTGAGTTGAATGCACACATCACGTAGCAGTTTCTGAGAATGGTTCTGTCTACTTTATATGTGAAGATATTCCCATTTCCAGCAAAGGTCTCAAAGCGGTCCAAATATCCACTTGCGGATTCCCCAAAAAGAGTGTTTCAAAACTGCTCTATGGAAAGGTATGTTCAACTCTGTGAGTTTAATGCAAACATCATAAAGAAGTTTCTGAGGATGCTTCTGTCTAGTTTAATGGGAATATATTTTCTTTTCCACCATAGCCCTCAAATAGCTCCAAATATCCACTTTCAGATTCTACAGAGTGTTTCAAAACTGCTCTATCAAAAAAAAGTTTCAACTCTGTGAGTTGAATGCACATATCTCAAAGTAGTTTGCTGAGAATGCTTCTGTCTAGTTTTTAGAGCCAGATATTTCTTTTTCTGCCATAGGCCTCAAAGCGCTCCTGATATCCACATGCAGATTCTACACAAAGAGTGTTTCAAAACTGCTCTATCAAAAGGAAGGTTCAACTCTGGTAGTTGAATGCAAACATCACAAAGAAGTTTCTCAGAATGCTTCTGTCTAGTTTTTATATGCAGATATTTCTTTTTCTACCATAGGCCTCAAAGCGCTCCTGATATCCACTTGCAGACTCTACAGAAAGAGTGTTTCAAAACTGCTCTATCAAAAGGAAGGTTCAACTCTGTGAGCTGAATGGACAGATCACAAAGAAGTTTCTGAGAATGCTTATGTCTAGTTTTTATGTGAAGATATTCCCGTTTCCAAGGAAGGTTTCAAAGCACTCCAAATATCCACCTGCAGATTCTACAACAAGTGTCTTTCAACACTGCTCTATCAAAAGTGAGGTTCCACTCGGTGAGTTGAATGCACACATCACAAAGAAGTTTCTAAGAATCCTTCAGTCTAGTTTCTATGTGACGGGTAATCCCGTTTCCAACGAAGGCCTCAAAGCAGTCCCAGTATCCACTTGCAGATGCTACAAAAATAGTGTTTGAAAACTGGACTATATAAAGAGAAGTTCAACTTTCTGAGTTGAATGCAAACATCACAAAGGAGTTTTACAGAATACTTCAGTCTAGTTTTTATGAGAAGATATTTCCTTTTTCACCATAGCCCTTGACGTGCTCCAAAAGCCCACTGGTGCATTCTACAAAAAGAGTGTTGCAAAACTGCCCTATTAAAAGGAAGGATCAACTCTGTGAGTTGAATGCAAACATCACAAAGATGTTTCTGAGAATGCTTCTGTCCAGTTTTTATGTGAAGACATTCCCTTTCCACCAGAGGCCTCAAAGCGCTCCCAATATCCACTTGCTGATTCTACAAAAACACTGTTTCAAAACCGCTCCATAAAAAAGATGGTTCAACTCTGTGAGTTGAATACACACATCACAAAGAAGTTTCAGAGAATGCTTCTGTCTAGTGTTTATGTGAAGATATTCCCGTTTCCAATGAGGCCTCAAAGCAGTCCAAATATCCACTTGCAGATACTACAAAAATAGTGTTTCAAAACTGCTCTATGAAAAGGTATGTTCAACACTGTGAGATGAATGCAAACGTCACAAAGAAGTTGCTGAGAATGCTTCAGTCTAGTTTCTATGTGAAGATATTTCCTTTTCGACTACAGCCCTCAAAGCACTCCAAATGTCTACTTGCAGATTCGATAAAAGAGTTCTTAAAAACTGCTCTATCAAAAGAAAGCTTCAACACTGTGAGTTGAATCTACATATAACAAAAAAGTTTCTGAGAATGCCTCTATCTACTTTTTATGTGAAGATATTCCGGTTTCCAACGAAGGTCTCAAAGCGCTCCAAATATCTACTTGCAGATTCTACAAAAAGAGTGTTTCAAAACTGCTCTATTAAAGCAAGGTTCAACTCTCTCAGTTAAATTCACACATCACAAAGAAGTTTCTGAGAATGCTTCTATCTAGTTTTTATGTGAAGATAGTACTGTTTCCTATGAAGGCCTCAAAGTGGTCCAAATATCCACTTGCAGATTCTACAAAAAGAGGATTTCAAAACTGCTCTATGAAGAGGGAGGTTCAACTCTGGTATTTGAATGCAAACATCACAAAGAAGTTTCTGAGAATGCTTCTGTCTAGTTTTTATGTGAAGACTTTTCCATTTGTGCAATAGCCCTGAAAGCGCTCCAAATATCCACTGGCAGATTCTACAAAAAGAGTGTTTCAAAACTGCTCTGTCACAAGAAATGTTCAACTGTGTTAGTTGAATGCCCACATCACAAAGAAGATTCTGAGAATATTTCTGTCTAGTTTTTATTAGAAGATATTCCCGTTTCCACCAAAGGACTCAAAGCGCCCCAAATATCCACTTGCAGATCTTACAGAAACACGTTTCAAAACTGCTCTATCAAAGGAAAGGTTCATCTCTCTGGGTTCAATGCACACATCACAAAGAAGTTTCTGAGAATGCTTCTGGCTAGTTTGTATGTGAAGATATTCCCACTTCCAACAAAGGCTTCAAGGCGCTCCAAATATTCACCTGCAATTGTACAAAAGTGAGTTTCAAAACTGTTCTGTCAAAGGGAAGGTTCAACTCTGTGTGTTGAAGGCACACTTCACATAGATGTTTCTGAGAATGCTTCTTTCTAGTTTTTATGTAAGATATTTCCTTCTCCACAATTGCCCTCAATGGGCTCCAAATGTCCACTGGCAGATTCCACAGAAACAGCGATTCAAAACTGCTCTAACAAAAGAAAGGTTCAACTCTGTGATTTGAATGCTGACATCACAAAGCAGTTTCTGTGAATCCTTCTGTCTAGATTTTATATGAGGATGTTTCCTTTTCTACCATGGGCATCAAAGCCTTCCACATATCCAATGGTAGATTGTACAAAAGAGTGTTTCAAAACTGCTTTATGAAAAGGAACGTTCAACTTTGGGAGCAGAATGCACACATCACGAAGAAGTTTCCAAGAATGCTTCTGTCTAGTTTATATGTGAAGATATTCCCATTTCCAGCAAAGGTCTCAAAGCGGTCCAAATATCCACTTGCGGATTCCCCAAAAAGAGTGTTTCAAAACTGCTCTATGGAAAGGTATGTTCAACTCTGTGAGTTGAATGCAAACATCATAAAGAAGTTTCTGAGGATGCTTCTGTCTAGTTTAATGTGAATATATTTTCTTTTCCGCCATAGCCCTCAAAGAGCTCCAAATATCCACTTTCAGATTCTACAGAGTGTTTCAAAACTGCTCTATCAAAAAAAAGTTTCAACTCGGAGAGTCGAATGCACATATCACAAAGCAGTTTCTGAGAATGCTTCAGTCTAGTTGTAATAGGCAGATATTTCTTTTTCTACCATAGGCCTAAAAGTGCTCCAAATATCCACTTGCAGATTCTCCAAAAACAGTGTTTCAAAACTGCTCCATAAAAAGGAAGGTTCAACTCTGTGAGTTGAATGGACAGATCACAAAGAAGTTTCTGAGAATGCTTATGTCTAGTTTTTATGTGAAGATATTCCCGTTTCCAAGGAAGGCTTCAAAGCACTCCAAATATCCACCTGCAGATTCTACAACAAGTGTCTTTCAACACTGCTCTATCAAAAGTGAGGTTCCACTCGGTGAGTTGAATGCACACATCACAAAGAAGTTTCTAAGAATCCTTCAGTCTAGTTTTTATGTGAAGATACCCGTTTCCAACGAAGGCCTCAAAGCAGTCCCAGTATCCACTTGCAGATTCTACAAAAATAGTGTTTGAAAACTGGACTATATAAAGAGAAGTTCAACTTTCTGAGTTGAATGCAAACATCACAAAGGAGTTTTACAGAATACTTCTGTCTAGTTTTTATGTGAAGATATTTCCTTTTTCACCATAGCCCTTGACGTGCTCCAAAAGCCCACTGGTGCATTCTACAAAAAGAGTGATGCAAAACTGCCCTATTAAAAGGAAGGATCAACTCTGTGAGTTGAATGCAAACATCACAAAGATGTTTCTGAGAATGCTTCTGTCCAGTTTTTATGTGAAGACATTCCCTTTCCACCAGAGGCCTCAAAGCGCTCCCAATATCCACTTGCTGATTCTACAAAAACACTGTTTCAAAACCGCTCCATAAAAAAGATGGTTCAACTCTGTGAGTTGAATACACACATCACAAAGAAGTTTCAGAGAATGCTTCTGTCTAGTGTTTATGTGAAGATATTCCCGTTTCCAATGAAGGCCTCAAAGCAGTCCAAATATCCACTTGCAGATACTACAAAAATAGTGTCTCAAAACTGCTCTATGAAAAGGTATGTTCAACACTGTGAGATGAATGCAAACGTCACAAAGAAGTTGCTGAGAATGCTTCAGTCTAGTTTCTATGTGAAGATATTTCCTTTTCGACCACAGCCCTCAAAGCACTCCAAATGTCTACTTGCAGACTCGATAAAAGAGTTTTTCAAAACTGCTCTATCAAAAGAAAGGTTCAACGCTGTGAGTTGAATCTACATATCACAAAAAAGTTTCTGAGAATGACTCTATCTACTTTTTATGTGAAGACATTCCGGTTTCCAACGAAGGCCTCAAAGCGCTCCAAATATCTACTTGCAGATTCTACAAAAAGAGTGTTTCAAAACTGCTCTGTTAAAGGAAGGTTCCACTCTGTGAGTTGAATTCACACATCACAAAGAAGTTTCTGAGAATGCTTCCATCTAGTCTTTATGTGAAGATATTACTGTTTTCTATGAAGGCCTCAAAGTGGTCCAAATATCCACTTGCAGATTCTACAAAAAGGGGTTTTCAAAACTGCTCTATGAAGAGGTATGTTCAACTCTGTGAGTTGAATGCAAACATCACAAAGCAGTTTCTGAGAATGCTTCGGTCTAGTTTTTAGGTGAAGATATTTCCATTTGCACAATTGCCCTCAAAGCGCTCCAAATATCCACTGGCGGATTCTACAAAAAGAGTGTTTCAGAACTGCTCTGTCAAAAGAAATGTTCAACTGTGTTAGTTGAATGCCCACATCACAAAGAAGATTCTGAGAATAATTCTGTCTAGTTTTTATTAGAAGATATTCCCGTTTCCACCAAAGGACACAAAGCGAAGCCAATTATCCGCTTGCAGATCTTACAAAAACACGTTTCAAAACTGCTCTATCAAAGGAAAGGTTCATCTCTCTGGGTTCAACGCACACATCACAAAGAAGTTTCTGAGAATGCTTCTGGCTAGTTTTTATGTGAGGATATTCCCATTTCCAACAAAGGCTTCAAAGCGCTCCAAATATTCACCTGCAATTGTACAAAAGAGTGTTTCAAAACTCTTCTATCAAAAGAACGGTTCAACTCTGTGAGTTGAATGCACACTTCACATAGGTGTTTCTGAGAATGCTTCTTTCTAGTTTTTATGTGAAGATATTTCCTTCTCCACCATAGCCCTCAATGCGCTCCAAATGTCCACTGGCAGATTCCACAGAAACAGTGTTTCAAAACTGCTCTAATAAAAGAAAGGTCCAACTCCGTGATTTGAATGCACACATCACAAAGCAGTTTCTGTGAATCATTCTGTCTAGATTTTATATGAGGATGTATCCTTTTCTACCATGGGCATCAAAGCCTTCCACATATCCAATGGTAGATTGTACAAAAGAGTGTTTCAAAACTGCTTTATGAAAAGGAAGGTTCAACTTTGGGAGCAGAATGCACACATCACGAAGAAGTTTCCGAGAATGCTTCTGTCTAGTTTATATGTGAAGATATTCCCATTTCCAGCAAAGGTCTCAAAGCGGTCCAAATATCCACTTGCGGATTCCCCAAAAAGAGTGTTTCAAAACTGCTCTATGGAATGGTGTGTTCAACTCTGTGAGTTTAATGCAAACATCATAAAGAAGTTTCTGAGGATGCTTCTGTCTAGTTTAATGGGAATATATTTTCTTTTCCACCATAGCCCCTCAAATAGCTCCAAATATCCACTTTCAGATTCTACAGAGTGTTTCAAAACTGCTCTATCAAAAAAAAGTTTCAACTCTGTGAGTTGAATGCACATATCTCTAAGTAGTTTCTGAGAATGCTTTTGTCTGTTTTTCATAGGAAGATATTTCCTTTTTGACCATAGGCCTCAAATCGCTCCAGATATCCACATGCAGATTCTACAAAAAGAGTGTTTCAAAACTGCTCTATCAAAAAGGAATGTTCAACTCTGGTAGTTGAATGCAAACATCACAAAGAAGTTTCTCAGAATGCTTCTGTCTAGTTTTGATATGCAGATATTTCTTTCTCTACCATAGGCCTCAAAGCGCTCCAAATATCCACTTGCAGATTCTACAAAAACAGTGTTTCAAAACGGCTCCATAAAAAGGAAGGTTCAACTCTGTGAGTTGAATGGACAGATCACAAAGAAGTTTCTGAGAATGCTTATGTCTAGTTTTTATGTGAAGATATTCCCGTTTCCAAGGAAGTCTTCAAAGCACTCCAAATATCCACCTGCAGATTCTACAACAAGTGTCTTTCAACACTGCTCTATCAAAAGTGAGGTTCCACTCGGTGAGTTGAATGCACACATCACAAAGAAGTTTCTAAGAATCCTTCAGTCTAGTTTTTATGTGAAGATAATCCCGTTTCCAATGAAGGCCTCAAAGCAGTCCCAGTATCCACTTGCAGATTCTACAAAAATAGTGTTTGAAAACTGGACTATATAAAGAGAAGTTCAACTTTCTGAGTTGAATGCAAACATCACAAAGGAGTTTTACACAATACTTCTGTCTAGTTTTTATGTGAAGATATTTCCTTTTTCACCATAGCCCTTGACGTGCTCCAAAAGCCCACTGGTGCATTGTACAAAAAGAGTGTTGCAAAACTGCCCTATTAAAAGGAAGGATCAACTCTGTGAGTTGAATGGAAACATCACAAAGATGTTTCTGAGAATGCTTCTGTCCAGTTTTTATGTGAAGACATTCCCTTTCCACCAGAGGCCTCAAAGCGCTCCAAATATCCAATTGCTGATTCTACAAAAACACTGTTTCAAAACCGCTCCATAAAAAAGATGGTTCAACTCTGTGAGTTGAATACACACATCACAAAGAAGTTTCAGAGAATGCTTCTGTCTAGTGTTTATGTGAATATATTCCCGTTTCCAATGAAGGCCTCAAAGCAGTCCAAATATCCACTTGCAGATACTACAAAAATAGTGTTTCAAAACTGCTCTATGAAAAGGTATGTTCAACACTGTGAGATGAATGCAAACGTCACAAAGAAGTTGCTGAGAATGCTTCAGTCTAGTTTCTATGTGAAGATATTTCCTTTTCGACCACAGCCCTCAAAGCACTCCAAATGTCTACTTGCAGATTCGATAAAAGAGTTTTTCAAAACTGCTCTATCAAAAGAAAGGTTCAACGCTCTGAGTTGAATCTACATATCACAAAAAAGTTTCTGAGAATGCCTCTATCTACTTTTTATGTGAAGATATTCCGGTTTCCAACGAAGGCCTGAAAGCGCTCCAAATATCTACTGGCAGATTCTACAAAAAGAGTGTTTCAAAACTGCTCTATTAAAGGAAGGTTCAACTCTGTGAGTTGAATTCACACATCACAAAGAAGTTTCTGAGAATGCTTCCATCTAGTTTTTATGTGAAGATATTACTGTTTCCTATGAAGGCCTCAAAGTGGTCAAAATATCCACTTGCAGATTCTACCAAAAGAGGTTTTCAAAACTGCTCTATGAAGATGTATGTTCAACACTGTGAGTTGAATGCAAACATCACAACGTAGTTTCTGAGAATGCTTCTGTCTAGTATTTAGGTGAAGATATTTCCATTTGCACAATAGCCCTCAAAGCGCCCCAAATATCCACTGGCAGATTCTACTAAAAGTGTGTTTCAAAACTGCTCTGTCAAAAGAAATGTTCAACTGTGTTAGTTGAATGCCCACATCACAAAGAAGATTCTGAGAATATTTCTGTCTAGTTTTTATTCGAAGATATTCCCGTTTCCACCTAAGGGCTCAAAGCGCCCCAAATATCCACTTGCAGATCTTACAAAAACACGTTTCAAAACTGCTCTCTCAAAGAAATGGTTCATCTCTCTGGGTTCAATGCACACATCACAAAGAAGTTTCTGAGAATGCTTCTGGCTAGTTTTTATGTGAGGATATTCCCATTTCCAACAAAGGCTTCAAAGCGCTCCAAATATTCACCTGCAATTGTACAAAAGAGTGTTTCAAAACTCTTCTATCAAAAGGAAGGTTCAACTCTGTGAGTTGAATGCACACTTCACATAGATGTTTCTGAGAATGCTTCTTTCTAGTTTTTATGTGAAGATATTTCCTTCTCCACCATAGCCCTCAATGCGCTCCAAATGTCCACTGGCAGATTCCACGGAAACAGGGTTTCAAAACTGCTCTAACAAAAGAAAAGTTCAACTCCGTGATTTCGATGCACACATCACACAGCAGTTTCTGTGAATCCTTCTGTCTAGTTTTTATATGAGGACATTACCTTTTCTACCACGGGCATCAAAGCGTTCCAAATATCCAATTGTAGATTGTACAAAAGGAGTGTTTCAAAACTGCCTTATGAAAAGGAAGGTTCAACTTTGGGAGTAGAATGCACACATCACGAAGAACTTTCTGAGAATGCTTCTGTCTAGTTTATATGTGAAGATATTCCCATTTCCAGCAAAGGTCTCAAAGCGGTCCAAATATCCACTTGTGGATTCCCCAAAAAGAGTGTTTCAAAACTGCTCTATGGAAAGGTATGTTCAACTCTGTGAGTTTAATGCAAACATCATAAAGAAGTTTCTGAGGATGCTTCTGTCTAGTTTAATGGGAATATATTTTCCTTTCCACCATAGCCCTCAAATAGCTCCAAATATCCACTTTCAGATTCTACAGAGTGTTTCAAAACTGCTCTATCAAAAAAAAGTTTCAACTCTGTGAGTTGAATGCACATATCTCAAAGTAGTTTGTGAGAATGCTTTTGTCTATTTTTCATAGGAAGATATTTCCTTTTCGAACGTAGGCCTCAAAAATCGCTCCAGATATCCACGTGCAGATTCTACAAAAAGAGTGTTTCAAAACTGCTCTATCAAAAGGAAGGTTCAACTCTGGTAGTTGAATGCAAACATCACAAAGAAGTTTCTGAGAATGCTTCTGTCTAGTTTTTAGAGCCAGATATTTCTTTTTCTACCATAGGCTTCAAAGCGCTCCTGATATCCACTTGCAGACTCTACAGAAAGAGTGTTTCAAAACTGCTCTATCAAAGGGAAGGTTCAACTCTGTGAGCTGAATGGACAGATCACAAAGGAGTTTCTGAGAATGCTTATGTCTAGTTTTTATGTGAAGATATTCCCGTTTCCAAGGAAGGCTTCAAAGCACTCCAAATATCCACCTGCAGATTCTACAACAAGTGTCTTTCAACACTGCTCTATCAAAAGTGAGGTTCCACTCGGTGAGTTGAATGCACACATCACAAAGAAGTTTCTAAGAATCCTTCAGTCTAGTTTCTATGTGAAGATAATCCCGTTTCCAACGAAGGCCTCAAAGCAGTCCCAGTATCCACTTGCAGATTCTACAAAAATAGTGTTTGAAAACTGGACTATATAAAGAGAAGTTCAACTTTCTGAGTTGAATGCAAACATCACAAAGGAGTTTTACAGAATACTTCCGTCTAGTTTTTATGTGAAGATATTTCCTTTTTCACCATAGCCCTTGACGTGCTCCAAAAGCCCACTGGTGCATTCTACAAAAAGAGTGTTGCAAAACTGCCCTATTAAAAGGAAGGATCAACTCTGTGAGTTGAATGCAAACATCACAAAGATGTTTCTGAGAATACTTCTGTCCAGTTTTTATGTGAAGACATTCCCTTTCCACCAGAGGCCTCAAAGCGCTCCAAATATCCACTTGCTGATTCTACAAAAACACTGTTTCAAAACCGCTCCATAAAAAAGATGGTTCAACTCTGTGAGTTGAATACACACATCACAAAGAAGTTTCAGAGAATGCTTCTGTCTAGTGTTTATGTGAAGATATTCCCGTTTCCAGTGGAGGCCTCAACGCAGTCCAAATATCCAATTGCAGATTCTACAAAAAGAGTGTTTCAAAACTGCTCTATGAAAAGGTATGTTCAACACTGTGAGATGAATGCAAACGACACAAAGAAGTTGCTGAGAATGCTTCAGTCTAGTTTCTATGTGAAGATATTTCCTTTTCGACCACAGCCCTCAAAGCACTCCAAATGTCTACTTACAGATTCGATAAAAGAGTTTTTCAAAACTGCTCTATCAAAAGAAAGGTTCAACGCTGTGAACTGAATCTACATATCACAAAAAAGTTTCTGAGAATGCCTCTATCTACTTTTTATGTGAAGATATTCCGGTTTCCAACGAAGGCCTCAAAGCGCTCCAAATATGTACTTGCAGATTCTACAAAAAGAGTGTTTCAAAACTGCTCTATTAAAGGAAGGTTCAACTCTGTGAGTTGAATTCACACATCACAAAGAACTTTCTGACAATGCTTCTACCTAGATTTTATGTGAAGATAGTACTGTTTCCTATGAAGGCCTCAAAGTGGTCCAAATATCCACTTGCAGATTCTACAAAAAGAGGTTTTCCAAACTGCTCTATGAAGAGGTAGGTTCAACTCTATGAGTTTAATGCAAACATCACAAAGTAGTTTCTGGGATTGCTTCTGTCTAGTTTTTAGGTGAAGACTTTTCCATTTCTACAAAGCCCTCAAAGCGCTCCAAATATCCACTGGCAGATTCTACAAAAAGAGTGTTTCAAAACTGCTCTGTCACAAGAAATGTTCAACTCTGTTAGTTGAATGCCCACATCACAAAGAAGATTCTGAGAATATTTCGGTCTAGTTTTTATTAGAAGATATTCCCGTTTCCACCAAAGGACTCAAAGCGTCCCAAATATCCACTTGCAGATCTTACAGAAACACGTTTCAAAACTGCTCTATCAAAGGAATGGTTCATCTCTCTGGGTTCAATGCACACATCACAAAGAAGTTTCTGAGAATGCTTCTGGCTACTTTTTATGTGAGGATATTCCCATTTCCAACAAAGGCTTCAAATCGCTCCAAATATTCACCTGCAATAGTACAAAAGAGTGTTTCAAAACTCTTCTATCAAAAGGAAGGTTCAACTCTGTGAGTTGAATGCACACTTCACATAGATGTTTCTGAGAATGCTTCTTTCTAGTTTTTATGTGAAGATATTTCTTTCTCCACCATAGCCCTCAATGCGCTCCAAATGTCCACAGGCAGATTCCACGGAAACGGGGTTTCAAAACTGCTCTAACAAAAGAAAAGTTCAACTCCGTGATTTGGATGCACACATCACACAGCAGTTTCTGTGAATCCTTCTGTCTAGATTTTATATGAGGATGTATCCTTTTCTACCATGGGCATCAAAGCCTTCCACATATCCAATGGTAGATTGTACAAAAGAGTGTTTCAAAACTGCTTTATGAAGAAGAAGGTTCAAATTTGGGAGCAGAATGCACACATCAGGAAGAAGTTTCCGAGAATGATTCTGTCCAGTTTATATATGAAGATATTCCCATTTCCAGCAAAGGTCTCAAAACGGTCCAAATATCCACTTGCGGATTCCACAAAAAGAGTGTTTCAAAACTGCTCTATGGAAAGGTATGTTCAAATCTGTGAGTTTGATGCAAACATCATAAAGAAGTTTCTGAGAATGCTTCTGTCTAGTTTAATGTGAATATATTTTCTTTTCCACCATAGCCCTCAAAGAGCTACAAATATCCACTTTCAGATTCTACAGAGTGTTTCAAAACTGCTGTATCAAAAAAAAGGTTCAACTCTGTGAGTGGAATGCACATAACACAAAGTAGTTTCTGAGAATGCTTTTGTCTATTTTTCATAGGAAGATATTTCCTTTTGAGACATAGGTCTCAAAAATCGCTCCAGGTATCCACATGCAGATTCTACAAAAAGAGCGTTTCAAAACTGTTCTATCAAAAGGAAGGTTCAACTCTGGTAGTTGAATGCAAACATCACAAAGAAGTTTCTGAGAATGCTTCTGTCTAGTTTTTAGAGCCAGATATTTCTTTTTCTGCCATAGGCCTCGAAGCGCTCCTGATATCCACTTGCACACTCTACAGAAAGAGTGTTTCAAAACTGCTCTATCAAAAGGAAGGTTCAACTCTGTGAGCTGAATGGACAGATCACAAAGGAGTTTCTGAGAATGCTTATGTCTAGTTTTTATGTGAAGATATTCCCGTTTCCAAGGAAGGCTTCAAAGCACTCCAAATATCCACCTGCAGATTCTACAACAAGTGTCTTTCAACTCTGCTCTATCAAAAGTGAGGTTCCACTCGGTGAGTTGAATGCACACATCACAAAGAAGTTTCTAAGAATCCTTCAGTCTAGTTTCTATGTGAAGATAATCCCGTTTCCAACGAAGGCCTCAAAGCAGTCCCAGTATCCACTTGCAGATTCTACAAAAATAGTGTTTGAAAACTGGACTATATAAAGAGAAGTTCAACTTTCTGAGTTGAATGCAAACATCACAAAGGAGTTTTACAGAATACTTCTGTCTAGTTTTTATGTGAAGATATTTCCTTTTTCACCATAGCCCTTGACGTGCTCCAAAAGCCCACTGGTGCATTGTACAAAAAGAGTGTTGCAAAACTGCCCTATTAAAAGGAAGGATCAACTCTGTGAGTTGAATGCAAACATCACAAAGATGTTTCTGAGAATGCTTCTGTCCAGTTTTTATGTGAAGACATTCCCTTTCCACCAGAGGCCTCAAAGCGCTCCCAATATCCACTTGCTGATTCTACAAAAACACTGTTTCAAAACCGCTCCATAAAAAAGATGGTTCAACTCTGTGAGTTGAATACACACATCACAAAGAAGTTTCAGAGAATGCTTCTGTCTATTGTTTATGTGAAGATATTCCCGTTTCCAGTGGAGGCCTCAACGCAGTCCAAATATCCAATTGCAGTTTCTACAAAAAGAATGTTTCAAAACTGCTCTAAGAAAAGGTATGTTCAACAGTGTGAGATGAATGCAAACGACACGAAGAAGTTGCTGAGAATGCTTCAGTCTAGTTTCTATGTGAAGATATTTCCTTTTCGACCACAGCCCTCAAAGCACTCCAAATGTCTACTTGCAGATTTGATAAAAGAGTTTTCCAAACTGCTCTATCAAAAGAAAGGTTGAATGCTGTGAGTTGAATCTACATATCAAAAAAAGTTTCTGAGAATGCTTCTATCTACTTTTTATGTGAAGATATTCCGGTTTCCAACGAAGGCCTCAAAGCTCTCCAAATATCTACTTGCAGATTCTACAAAAAGAGTGTTTCAAAACTGCTCTATTAAAGGAAGGTTCAACTCTGTGAGTTGAATTCACACATCACAAAGAAGTTTCTGAGAATGCTTGAATCTAGTTTTTATGTGAAGATATTACTGTTTTCTATGAAGGCCTCAAAGTGGTCCGAATATCCACTTGCAGATTCTACAGAAAGAGGATTTCAAAACTGCTCTATAAAGAGGTATGTTCATCTCTGTGAGTTGAATGCAAACATCACAAAGTAGTTTCTGAGAATGCTTCGGTCTAGTTTTTAGGTGTAGATATTTCCATTTGCACAATAGCCCTCAAAGCGCTCCAAATATCCACTGGCGGATTCTACAAAAAGAGTGTTTCAGAACTGCTCTGTCAAAAGAAATGTTCAACTGTGTTAGTTGAATGCCCACATCACAAAGAAGATTCTGAGAATAATTCTGTCTAGTTTTTATTAGAAGATATTCCCGTTTCCAACAAAGGACACAAAGCGAAGCCAATTATCCGCTTGCAGATCTTACAAAAACACGTTTCAAAACTGCTCTATCAAAGGAAAGGTTCATCTCTCTGGGTTCAACGCACACATCACAAAGAAGTTTCTGAGAATGCTTCTGGCTAGTTTTTATGTGAGGATATTCCCATTTCCAACAAAGGCTTCAAATCGCTCCAAATATTCACCTGCAATTGTACAAAAGAGTGTTTCAAAACTCTTCTATCAAAAGGAAGGTTCAACTCTGTGAGTTGAATGCACACTTCACATAGATGTTTCTGAGAATGCTTCTTTCTAGTTTTTATGTGAAGATATTTCCTTCTCCACCATAGCCCTCAATGCGCTCCAAATGTCCACTGGCAGATTCCACGGAAACGGGGTTTCAAAACTGCTCTAACAAAAGAAAAGTTCAACTCCGTGATTTGGATGCACACATCACACAGCAGTTTCTGTGAATCCTTCTGTCTAGATTTTATATGAAGATGTTTCCTTTTCTACCATGGGCATCAAAGCCTTCCACATATCCAATGGTAGATTGTACAAAAGAGTGTTTCAAAACTGCTTTATGAAGAGGAAGGTTCAACTTTGGGAGCAGAATGCACACATCACGAAGAAGTTTCCGAGAATGCTTCTGTCTAGTTTATATGTGAAGATATTCCCATTTCCAGCAAAGGTCTCAAAGCGGTCCAAATATCCACTTGCGGATTCCCCAAAAAGAGTGTTTCAACACTGCTCTATGGAATGGTGTGTTCAACTCTGTGAGTTTAATGCAAACATCATAAAGAAGTTTCTGAGGATGCTTCTGGCTAGTTTAATGTGAATATATTTTCTTTTCCACCATAGCCCTCAAAGAGCTCCAAATATCCACTTTCAGATTCTACAGAGTGTTTCAAAACTGCTCTATCAAAAAAAAGGTTGTACTCTGTGAGTTGAATGCACATAACACAAAGTAGTTTCTGAGAATGCTTTTGTCAGTTTTTCATAGGAAGATATTTCCTTTTTGACCATAGGCCTCAAATCGCTCCAGATATCCACATGCAGATTCTACAAAAAGAGTGTTTCAAAACTGCTCTATCAAAAAGGAAGGTTCAACTCTGGTAGTTGAATGCAAACATCACAAAGAAGTTTCTCAGAATGCTTCTGTCTAGTTTTTAGAGCCAGATATTTCTTTTTCTACCATAGGCTTCAAAGCGCTCCTGATATCCACTTGCAGACTCTACAGAAAGAGTGTTTCAAAACTGCTCTATCAAAAGGAAGGTTCAACTCTGTGAGCTGAATGGACAGATCACAAAGGAGTTTCTGAGAATGCTTATGTCTAGTTTTTATGTGAAGATATTCCCGTTTCCAAGGAAGGCTTCAAAGCACTCCAAATATCCACCTGCAGATTCTACAACAAGTGTCTTTCAACACTGCTCTATCAAAAGTGAGGTTCCACTCGGTGAGTTGAATGCACACATCACAAAGAAGTTTCTAAGAATCCTTCAGTCTAGTTTTTATGTGAAGATAATCCCGTTTCCAACGAAGGCCTCAAAGCAGTCCCAGTATCCACTTGCAGATTCTACAAAAATAGTGTTTGAAAACTGGACTATATAAAGAGAAGTTCAACTTTCTGAGTTGAATGCAAACATCACAAAGGAGTTTTACAGAATACTTCTGTCTAGTTTTTATGTGAAGATATTTCCTTTTTCACCAAAGCCCTTGACGTGCTCCAAAAGCCCACTGGTGCATTCTACAAAAAGAGTGTTGCAAAACTGCCCTATTAAAAGGAAGGATCAACTCTGTGAGTTGAATGCAAACATCACAAAGATGTTTCTGAGAATGCTTCTGTCCAGTTTTTATGTGAAGACATTCCCTTTCCACCAGAGGCCTCAAAGCGCTCCAAATATCCAATTGCTGATTCTACAAAAACACTGTTTCAAAACCGCTCCATAAAAAAGATGGTTCCACTCTGTGAGTTGAATACACACATCACAAAGAAGTTTCAGAGAATGCTTCTGTCCAGTGTTTATGTGAAGATATTCCCGTTTCCGATAGAGGCCTCAAAGCAGTCCAAATATCCACTTGCAGATTCTACAAAAATAGTGTTTCAAAACTACTCTATGCAAAGGTATGTTCAACACTGTGAGATCAATGCAAACGTCACAAAGAAGTTGCTGAGAATGCTTCAGTCTAGTTTCTATGGGAAGACATTTCCTTTTGCACCACAGCCCTCAAAGCACTCCAAATGTCTACTTGCAGATTCGATAAAAGAGTTTTTCAAAACTGCTCTATCAAAAGAAAGGTTCAACGCTGTGAGTTGAATCTACATATGACAAAAAAGTTTCTGAGCATGCCTCTATCTACTTTTCCTGTGAAGATATTCCGGTTTCCAACGAAGGCCTCAAAGCGCTCCAAATATCTACTTGCAGATTCTAGAAAAAGAGTGTTTCAAAACTGCTCTATTAAAGGAAGGTTCAACTCTGTGAGTTGAATTCACACATCACAAAGAACTTTCTGACAATGCTTCTATCTAGTTTTTATGTGAAGATATTACTGTTTCCTATGAAGGCCTCAAAGTGGTCCGAATATCCACTTGCAGATTCTACAGAAAGAGGTTTTCAAAACTGCTCTATGAAGAGGTATGTTCAACTCTGTGAGTTGAATGCAAACATCACGAAGTAGTTTCTGAGAATGCTTCTGTCTAGTTTTTAGGGGAAGATATTTCCATTGGCACAATAGCCCTCAAAGCGCTCCAGATATCCTCTGGCAGATTCCACCAAAAGAGTGTTTCAAAACTGCTCTGTGAAAAGAAATGTTCAAATGTGTTAGTTGAATGCCCTCATCACAAAGAAGATTCTGAGAATATTTTTGTCTAGTTTTTATTAGAAGATATTCCCGTTTCCACCAAAGGACTCAAAGCGCCCCAAATATCCACATACAGATCTTACAGAAACACGTTTCAAAACTGCTCTATCAAAGGAAAGGTTCATCTCTCTGAGTTCAACGCACACATCACAAAGAAGTTTCTGAGAATGCTTCTGGCTAGTTTGTATGTGAAGATATTCACAATTCCAACAAAGGCTTCAAGGAGCTCCAAATATTCACCTAAAATTGTACAAAAGAGTGTTTCAAAACTGTTCTATCAAAAGGAAGGTTCAAATCTGTGAGTTGAATGCACATTTCACATAGATGTTTCTGAGAATGCTTCTTTCTAGTTTTTATGTGAAGATATTTCCTTCTCCACCATAGCCCTCAATGCGCTCCAAATGTCCACTGGCAGATTCCACGGAAACGGGGTTTCAAAACTGCTCTAACAAAAGAAAAGTTCAACTCCGTGATTTCGATGCACACATCACACAGCAGTTTCTGTGAATCCTTCTGTCTAGATTTTATATGAGGATGTTTCCATTTCTACCATGGGCATCAAAGCCTTCCACATATCCAATGGTAGATTGTACAAAAGAGTGTTTCAAAACTGCTTTATGAAAAGGAAGGTTCAACTTTGGGAGCAGAATGCACACATCACGAAGAAGTTTCCGAGAATGCTTCTGTATAGTTTATATGTGAAGATATTCCCATTTCCAGCGAAGGTCTCAAAGCGGTCCAAATATCCACTTGCGGATTCCACAAAAAGAGTGTTTCAAAACTGCTCTATGGAAAGGTATGTTCAACTCTGTGAGTTTAATGCAAACATCATACAGAAGTTTCTGAGAATGCTTCTGTCTAGTTTAATGGGAATATATTTTCTTTTCCACCATAGCCCTCAAATAGCTCCAAATATCCACTTTCAGATTCTACAGAGTGTTTCAAAACTGCTCTATCAAAAAAAAGTTTCAACTCTGTGAGTTGAATGCACATATCTCTAAGTAGTTTCTGAGAATGCTTTTGTCTGTTTTTCATAGGAAGATATTTCCTTTTTGAACGTAGGCCTCAAAAATCGCTCCAGATATCCACGTGCAGATTCTACAAAAAGAGCGTTTCAAAACTGCTCTATCAAAAGGAAGGTTCAACTCTGGTAGTTGAATGCAAACATCACAAAGAAGTTTCTGAGAACGCTTCTGTCTAGTTTTTAGAGCCAGATATTTCTTTTTCTGCCATAGGCGACAAAGCGCTCCTGATATCCACTTGCACACTCTACAGAAAGAGTGTTTCAAAACTGCTCTATCAAAAGGAAGGTTCAACTCTGTGAGCTGAATGGACAGATCACAAAGGAGTTTCTGAGAATGCTTATGTCTAGTTTTTATGTGAAGATATTCCCGTTTCCAAGGAAGGCTTCAAAGCACTCCAAATATCCACCTGCAGATTCTACAACAAGTGTCTTTCAACACTGCTCTATCAAAAGTGAGGTTCCACTCGGTGAGTTGAATGCACACATCACAAAGAAGTTTCTAAGAATCCTTATGTCTAGTTTTTATGTGAAGATAATCCCGTTTCCAATGAAGGCCTCAAAGCAGTCCCACTATCCACTTGCAGATTCTACAAAAATAGTGTTTGAAAACTGGACTATATAAAGAGAAGTTCAACTTTCTGAGTTGAATGCAAACATCACAAAGGAGTTTTACAGAATACTTCTGTCTGGTTTTTTGTGAAGATATTTCCTTTTTCACCATAGCCCTTGACGTGCTCCAAAAGCCCGCTGGTGCATTCTACAAAAAGAGTGTTGCAAAACTGCCCTATTAAAAGGAAGGATCAACTCTGTGAGTTGAATGCAAACATCACAAAGATGTTTCTGAGAATGCTTCTGTCCAGTTTTTATGTGAAGACATTCCCTTTACACCAGAGGCCTCAAAGCGCTCCCAATATCCAATTGCTGATTCTACAAAAAACACTGTTTCAAAACCGCTCCATAAAAAAGATGGTTCAACTCTGTGAGTTGAATACACACATCACAAAGAAGTTTCAGAGAATGCTTCTGTCTAGTGTTTATGTGAAGATATTCCCGTTTCCGATGAAGGCCTCAAAGCAGTCCAAATGTCCACTTGCAGATTCTACAAAAATAGTGTTTCAAAACTACTCTATGCAAAGGTATGTTCAACACTGTGAGATGAATGCAAACGTCACCAAGAAGTTGCTGAGAATGATTCAGTCTAGTTTCTATGTGAAGATATTTCCTTTTCGACCACAGCCCTCAAAGCACTCCAAATGTCTACTTGCAGACTCGATAAAAGAGTTTTTCAAAACTGCTCTATCAAAAGAAAGGTTCAACGCTGTGAACTGAATCTACATATCACAAAAAAAGTTTCTGAGAATGCCTCTATCTACTTTTTATGTGAAGATATTCCGGTTTCCAACGAAGGCCTCAAAGCGCTCCAAATATCTACTTGCAGATTCTACAAAAAGAGTGTTTCAAAACTGCTCTATTAAAGGAAGGTTCAACTCTGTGAGTTGAATTCACACATCACAAAGAATTTTCTGACAATGCTTCTACCTAGTTTTTATGTGAAGATAGTACTGTTTCCTATGAAGGCCTCAAAGTGGTCCAAATATCCACTTGCAGATTCTACAAAAAGAGGTTTTCCAAACTGCTCTATGAAGAGGTAGGTTCAACTCTATGAGTTGAATGCAAACATCACAAAGTAGTTTCTGGGATTGCTTCGGTCTAGTTTTTAGGTGAAGATATTTCCATTTGCACAATAGCCCTCAAAGCGCTCCAAATATCCACTGGCGGATTCTACAAAAAGAGTGTTTCAGAACTGCTCTGTCAAAAGAAATGTTCAACTGTGTTAGTTGAATGCCCACATCACAAAGAAGATTCTGAGAATCATTCTGTCTAGTTTTTATTCGAAGATATTCCCGTTTCCACCTAAGGACTCAAAGCGCCCCTAATATCCACTTGCAGATCTTACAAAAACACGTTTCAAAACTGCTCTCTCAAAGGAACGGTTCACCTCTCTGGGTTCAATGCACACATCACATAGAAGTTTCTGAGAATGCTTCTGGCTAGTTTTTATGTGAGGATATTCCCATTTCCAACAAAGGCTTCAAAGCGCTCCAAATATTCACCTGCAATTGTACAAAAGAGTGTTTCAAAACTCTTCTATCAAAAGGAAGGTTCAACTCTGTGAGTTGAATGCACACTTCACATAGATGTTTCCGAGAATGCTTCTTTCTAGTTTTTCTGTGAAGATATTTCCTTCTCCACCATAGCCCTCAATGCGCTCCAAATGTCCGCTGGCAGATTCCACAGAAACAGTGTTTCAAAACTGCTCTAACAAAAGAAAGGTCCAACTCCGTGATTTGAATGCACACGTCACAAAGCAGTTTCTGTGAATCCTTCTGTCTAGTTTTTATATGAGGAGATTTCCTTTTCTACCACGGGCATCAAAGCGTTCCAAATATCCAATTGTAGATTGTACAAAAGGAGTGTTTCAAAAATGCTTTATGAAAAGGAAGGTTCAACTTTGGGAGTAGAATGCACACATCACGAAGAAGTTTCTGAGAATGCTTCTGTTTAGTTTATATGTGAAGACATTCCCATTTCCAGCGAAGGTCTCAAAGCGGTCCAAATATCCGCTTGCGGATTCCACAAAAAGAGTGTTTCAAAACTGCTCTATGGAAAGGTATGTTCAACTCTGTGAGTTTAATGCAAACATCATAAAGAAGTTTCTGAGAATGCTTCTGGCTAGTTTAATGTGAATATATTTTCTTTTCCACCATAGCCCTCAAAGAGCTCCAAATATCCACTTTCAGATTCTACAGAGTGTTTCAAAACTACTCTATCAAAAAAAAGGTTGTACTCTGTGAGTTGAATGCACATAACACAAAGTAGTTTCTGAGAATGCTTTTGTCTATTTTTCATAGGAAGATATTTCCTTTTGAGACATAGGTCTCAAAAATCGTTCCAGGTATCCACGTGCAGATTCTACAAAAAGAGCATTTCAAAACTCCTCTATCAAAAGGAAGGTTCAACTCTGGTAGTTGAATGCAAACATCACAAAGAAGTTTCTGAGAACGCTTCTGTCTAGTTTTGATATGCAGATATTTCTTTTTCTACCTTAAGCCTCAAAGCGCTCCAAATATCCACTTTCAGATTCTACAAAAACAGTGTTTCAAAACGGCTCCATAAAAAGGAAAGTTCAACTCTGTGTGTTGAATGGACAGATCACAAGGAAGTTTCTGAGAATCCTTATGTCTAGTTTTTATGTGAAGATATTCCCGTTTCCAAGGAAGGCTTCAAAGCACTCCAAATATCCACATGCAGATTCTACAACAAGTGTCTTTCAACTCTGCTCTATCAAAAGTGAGGTTCCACTCGGTGAGTTGAATGCACACATCACAAAGAAGTTTCTAAGAATCCTTCAGTCTAGTTTCTATGTGAAGATAATCCCGTTTCCAACGAAGGCCTCAAAGCAGTCCCAGTATCCACTTGCAGATTCTACAAAAATAGTGTTTGAAAACTGGACTATATAAAGAGAAGTTCAACTTTCTGAGCTGAATGCAAACATCACAAAGGAGTTTTACAGAATACTTCTGTCTAGTTTTTATGTGAAGATATTTCCTTTTTCACCATAGCCCTTGACGTGCTCCAAAAGCCCACTGGTGCATTCTACAAAAAGAGTGTTGCAAAACTGCCCTATTAAAAGGAAGGATCAACTCTGTGAGTTGAATGCAAACATCACAAAGATGTTTCTGAGAATACTTCTGTCTACTATTTATATGAAGATATTTCTTTTTCTACCATAGGCCTCAAATCGCTCCAAATATCCACTTGCAGATTCTACAAAAACAGTGTTTCAAAACTGCTCCATAAAAAAGGAAGGTTCAACTCTGTGAGTTGAATACACACATCACAAAGAAGTTTCAGAGAATGCTTCTGTCTAGTGTTTATGTGAAGACATTCCCATTTCCAATGAAGGTCTCAACGCAGTCCAAATATCCACTTGCAGATTCTACAAAAATAGTGTTTCAAAACTACTCTATGAAAAGGTATGTTCAACACTGTGAGATGAATGCAAACGTCACAAAGAAGTTGCTGAGAATACT
>NC_000005.10:49666173-49667431 GCF_000001405.40 Homo sapiens | reverse complement strand
ATGGAATCGAATGGAATGGAATCAACCCGAATGGAATGGAGTGGTATGGAATCAACCAGAGTGGAATGGCATAGAATGGAATGGAATGGAAAGGAGTGGAATGGTACGGAATAGAATGGAATGGAACGAAATGGAATGGAATGGATTCAACCCAATTGGAATGGTATGGTATGGAATGGAATGGAATTGTGTGGAATGGAATGGAATGGAATGGAGTGTAAAGGAATTGAATAGAATCACCCCGAATTGAATGGAATGGAATGCAACGGAATGGAATGGAATGGAATGGAATGAATGGAATGGAATGGAATGGAATGGGATCAACTCGGCTGGAATGGAATGGAATGGAATGGATTGGAATGGAATGCAATGGAATGGAATGGAACGGAATGGAATCAACCCGAATGCAATGGAATGGAATGGGATGGAATGGAATGGAGTGGAATGGAATGGAATGGAATGGTTTCAACCCGAATGGAATGGAAAGGAATGGAAAGGAATTGTGTGGAATTGAATAGAATGGGATGGAGCGTAAAGGAATTGAAAAGAATCAACCCGAATGGAATGGAATGGAATGGAACGGAATGGAATGGAATGGAAAGGAATGGAATGGAATCAAATCGAGTGGAATGGAATGGAATGGAATGGATTGGAATGGAATGCAATGGAAGGGAATGGAAGGGAATGGAATGGAATGGAATCATTCCGAGTGGAATGGAAGGCAATGTAATCGAGTGGAATGGAAATGGTATCAACACGAGTGGAATGGAAGGGAATGGAATGGAATGGAAAGGAATGGAATGGAATCAACACGAGTGGAATGGAATGGAAACGAATGGAATGGAATGGAATGGAATGGAATGGAATGGATTGGAATGGAATCAACCTGAGAGCAATGGAATGGAATGGAATGGAATGGAATGGAATGGAATGGAATGGAATGGAATCAAACCGAATGGAATGGAGTGGAATGGAATCAACCCGAGTGGAATGGCATGGAATGGAATGGAATGGAAAGGAGTGGAATGGTACGGAATAGAATGGAATGGAACGAAATGGAATGGAATGGATTCAACACAATTGGAATGGTATGGTATGGAATGGAATGGAATTGTGTGGAATGGAATGGAATGGAATGGAGTGTAAAGAAATTGAATACAATCAACCCGAATTGAATGGAATGGAATGGAATGGAATGGAATGGAATGGAATGGAATGGAATGGAATCAACGCGAGTGCAATGGAATGGAATGGAATG
>NC_000005.10:49656261-49661871 GCF_000001405.40 Homo sapiens | reverse complement strand
AATGGAATGGAGTGGAATGGAATGGAATGGAGTGGAATGGAATGGAATGGAGTGGAATGGAATGGAATGGAATGGAATCAAACCGAGTGCAATGGAATGGAATCGAATGGAATGGAATGGAATGGAAAGGATTCAACCCGAATGTTATGGAAAGGCATGGAATCAACCCGAGTGTAATGGCATGGAATGGAATGGAATGGAATGGAATGCCATGGAATGGAATGGAATGGAATGGTACGGAATAGAATGGAATGGAACGAAATTGAATGGAATGGAATGGAATGGAGTGGAATCATTCCGAGTGGAATAAAAGGGAATGTTTTCGAGTGGAATGGAAAGGAATGGAATCAAACCGAGTGGAATGGAAGGGAATGGAATGGAATGGAAAATAATAGAATGGAATCAACCCGAGTGGAATGTAATGGAAAGGAATGGAATGGAATGGAATGGAACGGAATGGAATGGAGTCAACGCGAGTGGAATGGAATGGAGTGGAATTGATTGGAATGGAATGCAATGGAATGGATTGGAATAATTCCGAGTTGAATGGAAGGGAATGTAATCGAGTGAAATGGACAGGAATGGAATCAACCCGAGTGGAATGGAAGGGAATGGAGTGGAATGGAAGGGAATGGAATGGAATGGAAAGGAATGGAATGCAATCAACCCGAGTGGAATGGAATTGAATGGAATGGAATGGAATCATCCCGAATGGAATGGAGTGGAATGGAATCAAATGCAATGGAATGTAATGGAATGGAATGGAATCAACTCGAGTGCAATGGAATGGAATGGAATGGAATGGAATGGAATGGAATGGAATGGAATGGAATCTACCAGAAAGGAATGGAATGGAATGGAATGGAATGGAGTGGAATGTACCCGAATGGAATGGAATGGAATGGAATCGTATGGCGTGGAATGGAATGAGACGGAATAGAATGGAATGGAATCAAATCGCATGGAATCGAATGGAATGGAACTGAATCGAACAGAGTGGAATGGAATGGAATGGAATGGAATGGAATGGAATGGAATGGAATCACCCGAATGGAATGGAGTGGAATGGAATGGAATGAAGTGGAATGGAATGGAATGGAATGAAATCATTCCGAGTGGAATGGAAGGGAATGTAATCGAGTGGAATGGAAAGGAATAGAATCAACCCGAGTGGAATGGAAGGGAATGGAATGGAAAGGAGTGGAATGTAATCAACACGAGTGGAATGGAATGGAAACAAATAGAATGGAATGGAATGGAATGGAGTGTAATAGAATGGAATCGAATCAACCCGAGAGCAATGGAATGGAATGGAATGGAATTGAATGGAATGGAATCAACCCGAATGGAATGGAGTGGAATGGAATCAACCCGAGTGGAATTGCATGGAATGGAATGGAATGGAAAGGAGTGGAATGGTACGGAATAGATTGGAATGGAACGAAATGGAATGGAATGGATTCAACCCAATTGGAATGGTATGGTATGGAATGGAATGGAATTGTGTGGAATGGAATGGAATGGAATGGAGTGTAAAGGAATTGAATAGAATCAACCCGAATTGAATGGAATGGAATGTAACAGAATGGAATGGAATGGAATGGAATGGAATGGAATGGAATGGAATGGAATCAACTCGGGTGGAATGGAATGGAATTTAATGGATTGGAATGGAATGCAATGGAATGGAATGGAATGGAATGGAATCATTCCGAGTGGAATGGAAGTGAATGTAATCGAGTGGAATGGAAAGGAATGGAATCAACCCCAGTGCAATGCAATGGAATGGAATGGAATGGAATGGAATGGAATGGAATGGATTCAACCCGATTGGAATGGAATGGAATGGAATTGTGTGGAATGGAGTGGAATGGAATGGACTCAACCCGATTGGAATGGAATGGAATGGAATGGAATTGTGTGGAATTGAATAGAATGGAATGGAGTGTAAAGGAATTGAATAGAATCAACCCGAATGGAATGGAATGGAATGGAACGGAATGGAATGGAATGGAATGGAATGGAATGCAATGGAATGGAATCAAATCGAGTGGAATGGAGTGGAATAGAATGGATTGGAATGGAATGCAATGGAAGGGAATGGAAGGGAATGGAATGGAATGGAATCATTCCGAGTGGAATGGAAGGCAATGTAATCGAGTGGAATGGAAATGGTATCAACACGAGTGGAATGGAAGGGAATGGAATGGAATGGAAAGGAATGGGATGGAATCAACACGAGTGGAATGGAATGGAAACGAATGGAATGGAATGGAATGGAATGGAATGGAATGGAATGGAATGGAATCGAATGGAATGGAATCAACCCGAGAGCAATGGAATGGAATGGAATGGAATGGAATGGAATGGAATGGAATGGAATGGAATCAACCCGAATGGAATGGAGTGGAACGGAATCAACCCGAGTGGAATGGCATGGAATGGAATGGAATGGAAAGGAGTGGAATGGTACGGAATAGAATGGAATGGAACGAAATGGAATGGAATGGATTCAACACAATTGGAATGGTATGGTATGGAATGGAATGAAATTGTGTGGAATGGAATGAAATGGAATGGAGTGTAAAAGAATTGAATAGAATCAACCCGAATTGAATGGAATGGAATGGAACGGAATGGAATGGAATGGAATGGAATGCAATGGAATGGAATGGAATGGAATGGAATCATTCTGAGTGGAATGGAAGTGAATGTAATCGAGTGGAATGGAAGGAATGGAATCAACGCGAGTGCAATGGAATGGAATGGAATGGAATGCAATGGAATGGAATCTACCAGAAGGGATGGATGGGATGGAATGAAATGGAGTGGAATGTACCGAATGGAATGGAATGGAATCGTATGGCGTGGAATGGAATGAAACGGAATAGAATGGAATGGAATCAAATCGCATGGAATGGAATGGAATGGAACTCAATCAAACAGAGTGGAATGGAATGGAATGGAATGGAATGGAATGGAATGGAATGGAATGGAATGGAATCACCCTAATGGAATGGAGTGGAATGGAATGGAATGGAGTGGAATGGAATGGAATGGAATGTAATCAACCCAAGCGCAATGGAATGGAATCGAATGGAATGGAATGGAATGGAATGGAATGGAATGGAATGGATTTAACACGAATGTAATGGAAAGGAATGGAATCAACCCGAGTGGAATGGCATGGAATGGAATGGAATGGAATGGAATGGAATGGTACGGAATAGAATGGAATGGAACGAAATTCAATGGAATGGAATGGAATGGAGTGGAATCATTCCGAGTGGAATAAAAGGGAATGTTTTCGAGTGGAATGGAAAGGAATGGAATCAACCCGAGTGGAATGGAAGGGAATGGAATGGAATGGAAAAGAATAGAACGGAATCAACCCGATTGGAATGGAATGGAAAGGAATGGAATGGAATGCAATGGAATGGAATGGAATGCAATGGAATGGAATCAACTCCAGTGCAATGGAATGGAATGGAATGGAATGGAATGGAATGGAATGGAATGGAATCAACCCGAACAGAATGGAATAAATTGAATCAACCCGATTGGAATGGCATGGAATGGAAAGGAATGGAATGGAATGGAATGGTACGCAATAGAATGGAATGGAACGAAATGGAACGGAATGGATTCAACCCAATTGGAATGGAATCGAATGGAATTGAATTGTGTGGAACGGAATGGAATGTAATGGAGTGTAAAGGAATTGAATAGAATCAACCCGAATGGAATGGAATGGAACAGAATCAATGGAATGGAATGGAATGGTATGGATAGAATGGAATGAAATGGAATAGAATGGATTCAACCCAATTGGGATGGAATGGAATGGAATGCAATGGAATTGTGTGGAATGGAATGGAATGGAATGGATTGTAAAGAATTGAATAGAATCAACCCGAATGGAATGGAATGGAATGGAATGGAATGCAATGGAATGGAATGGAATGGAATCATCTCGAGTGGAATGGAATGGTATGGAATGGATTGGAATGGAATGCAATGGAATGGAATGGAATCATTCGGAGTGGAATAGAAGGGAAATTCATCGAGTGGAATGGAAAGGAATGGAATCAACCCGAGTGGAATGGAAGGGAATGGAATGGAATGGAAAGGAATGGAATGGAATCAACACGAATGGAATGGAATGGAATGGAATGGAATGGAATGGAATGGAATGGAATGGAATGGAATCAGCCCGAGTAGAATGGCATGGAATGGAATAGAATGGAATGGAATGGAATGGTACAGAATAGAAATGAATGGAACGAAATGGAATAGAATGCATTCAACCCACTTGGAATGGAATGGAATGGAATGGAATTGTGTGGAATGGAAGGGAATGGAATGGAGTGTAAAGGAATTGAATAGAATCAACCCGAATGCAATGGGATGGAATGGAACGGAGCGGATGGGAATGGAATGGAATGGAATGGAATGGATTGGAATGGAATGGAATGGAATGGAATCAACCCGAATAGAAAGGAATGAAATGGAATCAACCCGATTGGAATGGCATGGAATGGTAAGGAAATGAAAGGAATGGAATGGTACGGAATAGAATGGAATGGAACGAAATGGAATGAAATGGATTCAACCGAATTGGAGTGGAATGGAATGGAATGGAATTGTGTGGAATGGAATGGAATGGAATAGAGTGTAAAGGAATTGAAAAGAATCAACCCGAATGGAATGGAATGGAATGTGAAGGAATGGAATGGAATGGAATGGAATGGAAGGGAATGGAATGGAACTGAATCAAACAGAGTGGAATGGAATGCAATGGAATGGAATGGAATGGAATGGAATGGAATGGAATGGAATGGAATGGAATGGAATCTACCAGAATGGAATGGAATGGAATGCAATGGAATGGAATGGAATGGAGTCTACCAGAATGGAATGGAATGGAATGGAATGGAATGGAATGGAATGGAATGGAAAGGAATGGAATTGTGTGGAATTGAATAGAATGGAATGGAGTGTAAAGGAATTGAATAGAATCAACCCGAATTGAAAGGAATGGAATGGAACGGAATGGAATGGAATGGAATGGAATGGAATGGAATGGAATCAAATCGAGTGGAATGGAATGGAATGGAATGGATTGGAATGGAATGCAATGGAAGGGAATGGAAGGGAATGGAATGGAATGGAATCATTCCGAGTGGAGTGGAAGGAAATGTAATCGAGTGGAATGGAAATGAAATCAACACGACTGGAATGGAAGGGAATGGAATGGAATGGAAAGGAATGGAATGGAAGAAACACGAGTGGAATGGAATGGAAACAAATGGAATGGAATGGAATGGAATGGAATGGAATGGAATGGAATCAACCCGAGAGGAATGGAATGGAATGGAATCGAATCGAATGGAATCAACCCGAATGGAATGGAGTGGAATGGAATCAACCCGAGTGGAATGGCATGGAATGGAATGGAATGGAAAGGAGTGGAATGGTACGGAATAGAATAGAATGGAATGGAATGAAATGGAATGGAATGGATTCAACACAATTGGAATGGTATGGTATAGAATGGAATGGAATTGTGTGGAATGGAATGGAGTGTAAAGGAATTGAATTGAATCAACC
>NC_000005.10:49646923-49650573 GCF_000001405.40 Homo sapiens | reverse complement strand
CATTGTGACATATCTCTACACTGATCACCCAGGTGATGTAACACTTTCTAGTCTGAATATCCACTTGCAGAGTTTACAAACAGAGTGTTTCCTAACTGCTCTATGAAAAGAAAGGTTAAACTCTGTGAGTTGAACGCACACATCACAACGCAGTTTGTGCGAATGATTCTGTCTAGTTTTGAAACGAAGATATTTCCTTTTCTTCCATTGACCTTAAAGCGCTTGAAATCTCCACTTGCCAATTGCACAAAAAGAGTGTTTCAAATCTGCTCTGTCTAAGGGAACGTTCAAATCTGTGAGTTGAATGCACACAACACAAGGAAGTTACTGGGAATTCTTCTGTCTAGCCTTACATGAAAAAAACCCGTTTCCAACGAAGGCCTCTAAGTGGTCAAAACATCCACTTGCAGACTTTACAAACAGAGTGTTTCCAAACTGCTGAATGAAAAGAAAAGTTAAACTCTGAGAGTTGAACGCACACATCGCAGAGCAGTTTCTGAGAATGATTCTGTCTAGTTTTTATACGAAGATATTTCCTTTTCTGCCTTTGGCCTCAAAGCGCTTGAAATCTCCACTTGCAAATTCCACAAAAAGAGTGTTTCAAATCTGCTCGGTCTAAATGAAAGTTCAACTCTGTCAGTTGAATACACACAACACAAGGAAGTTACTGAGAATTCTTCTGTCTAGTCTTATATGAAAAAAACCCGTTTCCAAAGAAGGCCTCAAAGAGGTCAAAATATCCACGTGCAGACTTTACAAACAGAGTGTTTCCTAACTGCTCTATGAAAAGAAAGGTTAAACTCTGTGAGTTGAACGCACTCATCTCAAAGGAGTTTCTGAGAATCATTCTGTCTAGTTTTTATACGAAGATATTTCCTTTTCTACCATTGACCTCAAAGCGGCTGAAATCTCCACTTGCAAATTCCAAAAAAAGTGTGTTTCAAGCCTGCTCTGTGTAAAGGATCGTTCAACTCTGTGAGTTGAATACACACAACACAAGGAAGATTTTGAGAATTCTTCTGTCTAGCAGAATATGAAGAAATCCCGTTTCCAATAAGGCCACAAGATGTCAGAATATCCACTTACAGACTTTACAAACAGAGTGTTTCCTAACTGCTCTATGAAAAGAAAAGTTTAAATCTGTGAGTTGAACGAACACATCACAACGCAGTTTGTGGGAATGATTCTGTCTAGTTTTGAAACGAAGATATTTCCTTTTCTGCCATTGACCTTAAAGCACTTGAAATCTCCACTTGCAAATTGCACAAAAACAGTGTTTCAAATCTGCTCTGTCTAAGGGAACGTTCAACTCTGTGAGTTGAATGCACACAACGCAAGGAAGTTACTGGGAATTCTTCTGTCTAGCCTTACAGGAAAAAAACCCGTTTCCAACGAAGGACTCTAAGAGGTCAAAATATCCACGTGCAGACTTTAAAAAAAGAGTGTTTCCAAACTGCTGAATGAAAAGAAAAGTTAAACTCTGAGAGTGGAAAGCACACATCGCCGAGCAGTTTCTGGGAATGATTCTGTCTAGTTTTTATACGAAGATATTCCCTTTTCTACTATTGACCTCAAAGCGGCTGAAATCTCCACCTGCAAATTCCACAAAAACAGTGTTTCTAATCTGCTCTGTGTAAAGGATCGTTCAACTCTGTGAGTTGAATACACACAACACAAGGAAGTTACTGAGAATTCTTCTGTCTAGCATAATATGAAGAAATCCCGTTTCCAACGAGGGCCTCAAAGAGGTCTGAATATCCACTTGCAGACTTTACAAACAGAGTGTTTCCTAAGTGCTCTATGAAAAGAAAGGTTAAACCCTGTGAGTTGAACGCACACATCACAAAGAACTTACTGAGAATCATTCTGTATAGTTTTTAAAAGAAGATATTTCCTTTTCTGCCATTGACCTCAAAGTGGCAGAAATCTCCACTTGCAAATTACACAAAAAGAGTGTTTCAAATCTGCTGTGTGTAAAGGATCGTTCAACTCTGTGACTTGAATACACACAACACAAGGAAGTTACTGAGAATTCTTCTGTCTAGCAGAATATGAAGAAATCCCGTTTCCAACGAAGGCCTCAAAGAGGTATGAATATCCACTTGCAGACTTTACAAACAGAGTGTTTCCTAACTGCTCTATGAAAAGAAAAGTTAAACTCTGTGAGTTGAACGCACACATCACAAAGGAGTTTCTGAGAATCATTCTGTCTAGTTTTTATACGAAGATATTTCCTTTTCTACCATTGACCTCAACGCGGCTGAAATCTCCACTTGCAAATTCCACAAAAGAAGTGTTTCTAATCTGCTCTGTGTAAAGGATCGTTCAACTCTGTGAGTTGAATACACACAACACAAGGAAGTTACTGAGAATTCTTCTGTGTAGCATAATATGAAGAAATCCCGTTTCCAACGAAGGCCTCAAAGAGGTCTGAATATCCACTTGCAGACATTACAAACAGAGTGTCTCCTAACTGCTCTATGAAAAGAAAGGTTAAACTCTGTGAGTTGAACGAACACATCACAACGCAGTTTGTGGGAATGATTCTGTCTAGTTTTGAAACGAAGATATTTCCTTTTCTGCCTTTGGCCTCAAAGAGCTTGAAATCTCCAATTGCCAATTCCACATAAATAGTGTTTCAAATCTGCTCGGTCTAAATGAAAGTTCAACTCTGTCAGTTGAATACACACAACACAAGGAAGTTACTGAGAATTCTTCTGTCTAGCCTTCTATGAAAAAATCCCGTTTCCAAGGAAGGCCTCAAAGAGGTCAAAATATCCACGTGCAGACTTTAAAAACAGAGTGTTTCCTAACTGCTCTATGAAAAGAAAGGTTAAACTCTGTGAGTTGAACGCACTCATCACAAAGGAGTTTCTGAGAATCATTCTGTCTAGTTTTTATACGAGGATATTTCCTTTTCTACCATGGACCTCAAAGAGGCGGAAATCTCCACTTGCAAATTCCACAAAAAGAGTGTTTCAAGTCTGCTCTGTGTAAAGGATCGTTCAACTCTGTGAGTTGTATACACACAACACAAGGAAGTTACTGAGAATTCTTGTGTCTAGCAGAATATGAAGAAATCCCGTTTCTAACGAAGGCCACAAGATGTCAGAATATCCCCTTACAGACTTTACAAACAGAGTGTTTCCTAACTGCTCTATGAAAAGAAAGGTTAAACCCTGTGAGTTGAACGAACACATCACAACGCAGTTTGTGGGAATGATTCTGTCTAGTTTTGAAACGAAGATATTTCCTTTTCTGCCTTTGGTCTCAAAGCGCTTGAAATCTCCACTTGCCAATTCCACATAAAGAGGGTTTCAAATCTGCTCTGTCTAAATGAAAGTTCAACCCTGTCAGTTGAATACACACCACACAAGGGAGTTTCTGAGAATTCTTCTGTCTAGCCTTATATGAAAAAACCCGTTTCCAACGAAGGCCTCAAAGAGGTCAAAATATCCACGTGCAGACTTTACAAACAGAGTGTTTCCTAACTGCTCTGTGAAAAGAAAGGTTAAACCCTGTGAGTTGAACGAACACATCACAACGCAGTTTGTGGGAATGATTCTGTCTAGTTTTGAAATGAAGATATTTCCTTTTCTGCCATTGACCTTAAAGCGCTTGAAATCTCCACTTGCCAATGCACAAAAAGA
>NC_000005.10:49641815-49646823 GCF_000001405.40 Homo sapiens | reverse complement strand
AATCATTCTCAGAAACTGCTCTGCGATGTATGCGTTCAACTCTCAGAGTTTAACTTTTCTTTTCATTCAGCAGTTAGGAACACTCTGTTTGTAAAGTCTGCAAGTGGATATTCAGACCTTTTTGAGGCCTTCGTTGGAAACGGGTTTTTTTCATATAAGGCTAGACAGAAGAATTCCCAGTAACTTCCTTGTGTTTTGTGCATTCAACTGACAGAGTTGAACTTTCCCTTAGACAGAGCAGATTTGAAAAACTCTTTTTGTGGAATTGGCAAGTGGTGATTTCAAGCGCTTTGAGGTCAATGGCAGAAAAGGAAATATCTTCGTATAAAAACTAGACAGAATGATTCTCAGAAACTGCTTTGTGATGTGTTCGTTCAACTCACAGAGTTTAACCTTTCTTTTCATAGAGCAGTTAGGAAACACTCTGTTTGTAAAGTCTGCAAGTGGAAATTTTCACCTCTTGAGGCCTTCTTTGGAAACGGGTATTTTTTCATGTACTGCTAGACAGAAGAATTCTCAGTAACTTCCTTGTGTTGTGTGTATTCAACTCACAGAGTTGAACGTTGGTTTACACAGAGCAGATTTGAAACACTCTTTTTGTGGAATTTGCAAGTGGAGATTTCAGCCGCTTTGAGGTCAATGGTAGAAAAGGAAATATCTTCGTATAAAAACTAGACAGAATGATTCTCAGAAACTTCTTTGTGATGTGTGCGTTCAACTCACAGAGTTTAACCTTTCTTTTCATAGAGCAGTTAGGAAACACTCTGTTTGTAAACTCTGCAAGTGGATATTCAGACCTCTTTGAGGCCTTCGTTGGAAACGGGATTTCTTCATACTATGCTAGACAGAAGAATTCTCAGTAACTTCCTTGTGTTGTGTGTATTCAACTCTGTGAGTTGAATCCTTTACTTTGAGCAGACTTGAAACACTCTTTTTGTGGAATTTGCAAGTGGAGATTTCAGCCGCTTTGAGGTCAATGGTAGAAAAGGAAATATCTTCCAATAAAAACTAGACAGAACGATTGTCAGAAACTCCTTTATGATGTGTGCGTTCAACTCACAGAGTTTAACCTTTCTTTTCATAGAGCAGTTAGGAAACACTCTGTTTGTAACTCTGCAAGTGGATATACAGACCTCTTTGAGGCCTTCGTTGGAAACGGGATTTCTTCATACTATGCTAGACAGAAGAATTCTCAGTAACTTCCTTGTGTTGTGTGTATTCAACTCTGTGAGTTGAATCCTTTACACAGAGCAGACTTGAAACACTCTTTTTGTGGAATTTGCAAGTGGAGATTTCAGCCGCTTTGAAGTCAAAGGTAGAAAAGGAAATATCTTCGTATAAAAACTAGACAGAATGATTCTCAGAAACTCCTTCGTGATGTGTGCGTTCAACTCACAGAGTTTAACCTTTCTTTTAATAGAGCAGTTAGGAAACACTCTGTTTGTAAATTCTGCAAGTGGATATTCAGACCTCTTTGAGGCCTTCGTTTGAAACGGGATTTCTTCATATTATGCCTGACAGAAGAATTCTCAGCAACTTCCTTGTGTTGTGTGTATTCAACTCACAGAGTTGAACGATCCTTTGAGCAGACTTGAAACACTCTTTTTGTGGAATTTGCAAGTGGAGATTTCAGCCGCTTTGAGGTCAATGGTTGAAAAGGAAATATCTTCATATAAAAATTAGACAGAAGGATTCTCAGAAACTCCTTTGTGATGTGTGCGTTCAACTCACAGAGTTTAACCTTTCTTTTTATATAGCAGTTAGGAAACACTCTGTTTGTAAAGTCTGCAAGTGGATATTCAGACCTCTTTGAGGCCTTCGTTGGAAACGGGTTTTTTTCATATAAGGCTAGACAGAAGAATTCCCAGTAACTTCCTTGTGTTTTGTGTATTCAACTGACAGAGTTGAACTTTCATTTACACAGAGCAGATTTGAAACACTCTTTTTGTGGAATTTGCAAGTGGAGATTTCAGCCGCTTTGAGGTCAATGGTAGAAAAGGAAATATCTTCGAATAAAAACTAGACAGAATGATTCTCAGAAACTCCTTTATGATGTGTGCGTTCAACTCTCAGAGTTTAACCTTCCTTTTCATAAAGCAGTTAGGAAACACTCTGTTTGTAAAGTCTGCAAGTGGATAATCAGACCTCTTTGAGGCCTTCGTTGGAAACGGGATTTTTTCATATTCTGCTAGACAGAAGAATTCTCAGTAACTTCCTCGTGTTGTGTGTATTCAACTCACAGAGTTGAACGATCCTTTACACAGAGCAGACTTGAAACACTCTTTTTGTGGAATTTGCAAATGGAGATTTCAGCCGCTTTGAGGTCAGTGGTTGAAAAGGAAATATCTTCATATAAAAATTAGACAGAATGATTCTCAGAAACTCTTTTGTGATGTGGGTGTTCAACTCACAGAGTTTAACTTTCTTTTCATAGAGCAGTTAGGAAACACTCTGTTTATAAAGTCTGCAAGTGGATATTTTCACCTCTTTGAGGCCTTCGTTGGAAACGGGTTTTTTTCATATAAGGCTGGACAGAAGAATTCCCAGTAACTTCCTTGTGTTTTGTGTATTCAACTGACAGAGTTGAACTTTCATTTACACAGAGCAGATTTGAAACACTCTTTTTGTGGAATTTGCAAGTGGAGATTTCAGCCGCTTTGAGGTCAATGGTAGAAAAGGAAATATCTTCGTATAAAAACTAGACAGAATGATTCTCAGAAACTTCTTTGTGATGTGTGCGTTCAACTCACAGAGTTTAACCTTTCTTTTCATAGAGCAGTTAGGAAACACTCTGTTTGTAAACTCTGCAAGTGGATATACAGACCTCTTTGAGGCCTTCGTTGGAAACGGGATTTCTTCATACTATGCTAGACAGAAGAATTCTCAGTAACTTCCTTGTGTTGTGTGTATTCAACTCTGTGAGTTGAATCCTTTACACAGAGCAGACTTGAAACACTCTTTTTGTGGATTTGCAAGTGGAGATTTCAGCCGCTTTGAAGTCAAAGGTAGAAAAGGAAATATCTTCGTATAAAAACTAGACAGAATGATTCTCAGAAACTCCTTTGTGATGTGTGCGTTCAACTCACAGAGTTTAACCTTTCTTTTCATAGAGCAGTTAGGAAACACTCTGTTTGTAAAGTCTGCAAGTGGATATTTTCACCTCTTTGAGGCCTTCGTTGGAAACGGGTTTTTTTTCATGTAAGGCTAGACAGAAGAATTCCCAGTAACTTCCTTGTGTTGTGTACATTCAACTCACAGAGTTGAACGTTCCCTTAGACAGAGCAGATTTGATACACTCTTTTTGTGCAATTGGCAAGTGGAGATTTCAAGCGCTTTGAGGTCAATGGCAGAACAGGAAATATCTTCGTTTCAAAACTAGACAGAGTCATTCCCACAAACTGCGTTTTGATGTGTTCGTTCAACTCACAGAGTTTAACTTTCTTTTCATAGAGCAGTTAGGAAACACTCTGTTTGTAAATTCTGTAAGTGGATATTCTGACATCTTTGTGGCCTTCGTTGGAAACGGGATTTCTTCATATTATGCCTGAGAGAAGAATTCTCAGCAACTTCCTTGTGTTGTGTGTATTCAACTCACAGAGTTGAACGATCCTTTGAGCAGACTTGAAACACTCTTTTTGTGGAATTTGCAAGTGGAGATTTCAGCCGCTTTGAAGTCAATGGTAGAAAAGGAAATATCTTCGAATAAAAACTAGACAGAATGATTCTCAGAAACTCCTTTATGATGTGGGCGTTCAACTCACAGAGTTTAACCTTTCTTTTCATAGAGCAGTTAGGAAACACTCTGTTTGTAAACTCTGCAAATGGATATTCAGACCTCTTTGAGGCCTTCGTTGCAAACGGTATTTCTTCATATTATGCCTGACAGAAGAATTCTCAGCAACTTCCTTGTGTTGTGCGTATTCAACTCTCAGAGTTGAACGATCCTTTGAGCAGACTTGAAACACTCTTTTTGTGGAATTTGCAAGTGGAGATTTCAGCCGCTTTGAGGTCAATGGTAGAAAAGGAAATATCTTCGAATAAAAACTAGACAGAATGATTCTCAGAAACTCCTTTATGATGTGTGCGTTCAACTCACAGAGTTTAACCTTTCTTGTCATAGAGCAGTTAGGAAACACTCTGTTTGTAAAGTCTGCAAGTGGATATTCAGACCTCTTTGAGGCCTTAGTTGGAAACCGGATTTCTTCATAGTCTGCTAGACAGAAGAATTCTCAGTAACTTCCTCGTGTTGTGTGTATTCAACTCAAAGAGTTGAACGATCCTTTACACAGAGCAGACTTGAAACACTCTTTTTGTGGAATTCGCAAATGGAGATTTCAGCCGCTTTGAGGTCAATGGTTGAAAAGGAAATATCTTCATATAAAAATTAGACAGAAGGATTCTCAGAAACTCCTTTGTGATGTGTGCGTTCAACTCACAGAGTTTAACCTTTCTTTTAATAGAGCAGTTAGGAAACACTCTGTTTGTAAAGTCTGCAAGTGGATATTCAGACCTCTTTGAGGCCTTCGTTGGAAACGGGTTTTTTTCATATAAGGCTAGACAGAAGAATTCCCAGTAACTTCCTTGTGTTTTGTGTATTCAACTGACAGAGTTGAACTTTCATTTACACAGAGCAGATTTGAAACACTCTTTTTGTGGTATTTGCAAGTGGAGATTTCAGCCGCTTTGATGTCAATGATAGAAAAGGAAATATCTTCCTATAAAAATTAGACAGAATGATTCTCAGAAACTCCTTTGTGATGTGGGTGTTCAACTCACAGAGTTTAACCTTTCTTTTCATAGAGCAGTTAGGAAACACTCTGTTTGTAAAGTCCGCAAGTGGAAATTTTCACCTCTTTGAGGCCTTCGTTGGAAACGGGTATTTTTTCATGTAAGGCTAGACAGAAGAATTCTCAGTAACTTCCTTTTGTTGTGTGTATTCAACTGACAGAGTTGAACTTTCATTTAGACAGAGCAGATTTGAAACACTCTTTTTCTGGAATTGCAAGTG
>NC_000005.10:49630729-49633793 GCF_000001405.40 Homo sapiens | reverse complement strand
GCAAGTGGATATACAGACCTCTTTGAGGCCTTCGTTGGAAACGGGATTTCTTCATACTATGCTAGACAGAAGAATTCTCAGTAACTTCCTTGTGTTGTGTGTATTCAACTCACAGAGTTGAACGATCCTTTACACAGAGCAGACTAGAAACACTCTTTTTGTGGAATTTGCAAGTGGAGATTTCAGCCCCTTTGAGGTCAAAGGTAGAAAAGGAAATATCTTCGTATAAAAACTAGACAGAATGATTCTCAGAAACTCCTTTGTGATGTGTGCGTTCAACTCACAGAGTTTAACCTTTCTTTTAATAGAGCATTTAGGAAACACTCTGTTTGTAAAGTCTGCAAGTGGATAATCAGACCTCTTTGAGGCCTTCGTTAGAAACGGGATTCCTTCATATTCTGCTAGACAGAAGAATTCTCAGTAACTTCCTCGTGTTGTGTGTATTCAACTCACAGAGTTGAATGATCCTTTACACAGAGCAGACTTGAAACACTCTTTTTGTGGAATTTGCAAATGGAGATTTCAGCCGCTTTGAGGTCAATGGTTGAAAAGGAAATATCTTCAAATAAAAACTAGACAGAATGATTCTCAGAAACTCCTTTGTGATGTGGGTGTTCAACTCACAGAGTTTAACTTTCTTTTCATAGAGCAGTTAGGAAACACTCTGTTTGTAAAGTCTGCAAGTGGATATTTTCACCTCTTTGAGGCCTTCGTTGGAAACGGGTTTTTATTCATGTAAGGCTGACAGAAGAATTGTCAGTAACTTCCTTTTGTTGTGTGTATTCAACTGACAGAGTTGAACTTTCATTTAGACAGAGCAGATTTGAAACACTCTTTTTGTGGTATTTGCAAGTGGAGATTTCAGCCGCTTTGATGTCAATGATGGAAAAGAAAATATCTTCATATAAAAATTAGACAGAACGATTCTCAGAAACTCCTTTGTGATGTGGGTGTTCAACTCACAGAGTTTAGCCTTTCTTTTCATAGAGCAGTTAGGAAACACTCTGTTTGTAAAGTCTGCAAGTGGATATTTTCACCTCTTTGAGGCCTTCGTTGGAAACGGGTTTTTTTTCATATAAGGCTAGACAGAAGAATTCTCAGTAACTTCCTTGTGTTGTGTGTATTCAACTGACAGAGTTGAACTTTCATTTAGACAGAGCAGATTTGAAGCACTGTTTTTGTGGAATTTGCAAGTGGAGATTTCAAGCGCTTTGAGGCCAAAGGCAGAAAACGAAATATCTTCGTATAAAAACTAGACAGAATCATTCTCAGAAACTGCTCTGCGATGTGTGCGTTCAGCTCTCAGAGTTTAACTTTTCTTTTCATTCAGCAGTTAGGAAACACTCTGTTTGTAAACTCTGCAAGTGGATATTCAGACCTCTTTGAGGCCTTCGTCGCAAACGGGATTTGTTCATATTATGCCTGACAGAAGAATTCTCAGCAACTTCCTTGTGTTGTGTGTATTCAACTCACAGAGTTGAACGATCGTTTGAGCAGACTTGAAACACCCTTTTTGTGGAATTTGCAAGTGGAGAATTTCAGCCGCTTTGAGGTCAATGGTAGAAAAGGAAATATATTCAAATAAAAACTAGACAGAATGATTCTCAGAAACTCCTTTGTGATGTGTGCGTTCAACTCACAGAGTTTAACCTTTCTTTTAATAGAACAGTTAGGAAACACTCTGTTTGTTAAGTCTGCAAGTGGATATTCAGACCTCTTTGAGGCCTTCGTTGGAAATGGGTTTTTTTCATATAAGGCTAGACAGAAGAATTCCCAGTAACTTCCTTGTGTTTTGTGTATTCAACTGACAGAGTTGAACTTTCATTTACACAGAGCAGATTTGAAACACTCTTTTTGTGGTATTTGCAAGTGGAGGTTTCAGCCGCTTTGATGTCAATGGTAGAAAAGGAAATATCTTCATATAAAAATTAGACAGAATGATTCTCAGAAACTCCTGTGTGATGTGGGTGTTCATCTCACAGAGTTTAACCTTTCTTTTCATAGAGCAGTTAGGAAACACTCTGTTTGTAAAGTCTTCAAGTGGATATTTTCACCTCTTTGAGGCCTTCGTTGGAAAGGGGTTTTTTTTCATGTAAGGCTAGACAGAAGAAATCTCAGTAACTTCCTTGTGTTGTGTGTAATCAACTGACAGAGTTGAACTTTCTTTTAGACAGAGCAGATTTGAAACACTCTTTTTGTGGAATTTGCAAGTGGAGATTTCAAGCGCTTTGAGGCCAAAGGTAGAAAAGCAAATATCTTCGTATAAAAACTAGACAGAATCATTCTCAGAAACTGCTCTGCGATGTGTGCGTTCAGCTCTCAGAGTTTAACTTTTCTTTTCATTCAGCAGTTTGGAAACACTCTGTTTGTAAAGTCTGCACGTGGATATTTTGACCACTTAGAGGCCTTCGTTGGAAACGGGTTTTTTTCATGTAAGGCTAGACAGAATAATTCCCAGTAACTTCCTTGTGTTGTGTACATTCAACTCACAGAGTTGAACGTTCCCTTAGACAGAGCAGATTTGAAACACTCTTTTTGTGCAATTGGCAAGTGGAGATTTGAAGCGCTTTAAGGTCAATGGCAGAAAAGGAAATATCTTCGTTTCAAAACTAGACAGAATCATTCCCACAAACTGCGTTGTGATGTGTTCGTTCAACTCACAGAGTTTAACCTTTCTTTTCATAGAGCAGTTAGGAAACACTCTGTTTGTAAATTCTGTAAGTGGATATTCTGACATCTTGTGGCCTTCGTTGGAAACGGGATTTCTTCATATTCTGCTAGACAGAAGAATTCTCAGAATCTTCCTTGTGTTGTGTGTATTCAACTCACAGAGTTGAACGATGGTTTACACAGAGCAGATTTGAAACACTCTTTTTGTGGAATTTGCAAGTGGAGATTTCAGCCGCTTTGAGGTCAATGGTAGAAAAGGAAATATCTTCGTATAAAAACTAGACAGAATGATTCTCAGAAACTTCTTTGTGATGTGTGCGTTCAACTCACAGAGTTTAACCTTTCTTTTCATAGAGCAGTTAGGAAACACTCTGTTTGTAAACTCTGCAAGTGG
>NC_000005.10:49621605-49628165 GCF_000001405.40 Homo sapiens | reverse complement strand
CTCACAGAGTTTAACCTTTCTTTTAATAGAGCATTTAGGAAACACTCTGTTTGTAAAGTCTGCAAGTGGATAATCAGACCTCTTTGAGGCCTTCGTTAGAAACGGGATTTCTTCATATTCTGCTAGACAGAAGAATTCTCAGTAACTTCCTCGTGTTGTGTGTATTCATCTCACAGAGTTGAACGATCCTTTACACAGAGCAGACTTGAAACACTCTTTTTGTGGAATTTGCAAATGGAGATTTTAGCCGCTTTGAGGTCAATGGTTAAAAAGGAAATATCTTCATTTAAAAATTAGACAGAATGATTCTCAGAAACTCCTTTGTGATGTGGGTATTCAACTCACAGAGTTTAACTTTCTTTTCATAGAGCAGTTAGGAAACACTCTGTTTGTAAAGTCTGCAAGTGGATATTTTCACCTCTTTGAGGCCTTCGTTGGAAACGGGTTTTTATTCATGTAAGGCTGACAGAAGAATTCTCAGTAACTTCCTTTTGTTGTGTGTATTCAACTGACAGAGTTGAACTTTCATTTAGACAGAGCAGATTTGAAACACTCTTTTTGTGGTATTTGCAAGTGGAGATTTCAGCCGCTTTGATGTCAATGATGGAAAAGGAAATATCTTCATATAAAAATTAGACAGAACGATTCTCAGAAACTCCTTTGTGATGTGGGTGTTCAACTCACAGAGTTTAGCCTTTCTTTTCATAGAGCAGTTAGGAAACACTCTGTTTGTAAAGTCTGCAAGTGGATATTTTCACCTCTTTGAGGCCTTCGTTGGAAACGGGTTTTTTTTCATGTAAGCCTAGACAGAAGAATTCTCAGTAACTTCCTTTTCTTGTGTGTATTCAACTGACAGAGTTGAACTTTCATTTAGACAGAGCAGATTTGAAACACTCTTTTTCTGGAATTTGCAAGTGAAGATTTCATGCGCTTTGAGGCCAAAGGCAGAAAAGGATATATCTTCATATAAAAACTAGACAGAATCATTCTCAGAAACTGCTCTGCGATGTATGCGTTCAACTCTCAGAGTTTAACTTTTCTTTTCATTCAGCAGTTTGGAAACACTCTGTTTGTAAATTCTGCACGTGGATATTTTGACCACTTAGAGGCCTTCGTTGGAAACGGGTTTTTTTCATGTAAGGCTAGACAGAAGAATTCCCAGTAACTTCCTTGTGTTGTGTACATTCAACTCACAGAGTTGAACGTTCCCTTAGACAGAGCAGATTTGAAACACTCTTTTTGTGCAATTGGCAAGTGGAGATTTCAAGCGCTTTAAGGTCAATGGCAGAAAAGGAAATATCTTCGTTTCAAAACTAGACAGAATCATTCCCACAAACTGCGTTGTGATGTGTTCGTTCAACTCACAGAGTTTAACCTTTCTTTTCATAGAGCAGTTAGGAAACACTCTGTTTGTAAATTCTGTAAGTGGATATTCTGACATCTTGTGGCCTTCGTTGGAAACGGGATTTCTTCATATTCTGCTAGACAGAAGAATTCTCAGTAACTTCCTTGTGTTGTGTGTATTCAACTCACAGAGTTGAACGATCCTTTACACAAAGCAGACTTGAAACACTCTTTTTGTGGAATTTGCAATTGGAGATTTCAGCCGCTTTGAAGTCAAAGGTAGAAAAGGAAATATCTTCGTATAAAAACTAGACAGAATGATTCTCAGAAACTCCTTTGTGATGTGTGCGTTCAACTCACAGAGTTTAACCTTTCTTTTAATAGAGCAGTTAGGAAACACTCTGTTTGTTAAGTCTGCAAGTGGATATTCAGACCTCTTTGAGTCCTTCGTTGGAAACGGGTTTTTTTCATATAAGGCTAGACAGAAGAATTCCCAGTAACTTCCTTGTGTTTTGTGTATTCAACTGACAGAGTTGAACTTTCATTTACACAGAGCAGATTTGAAACACTCTTTTTATGGTATTTGCAAGTGGAGATTTCAGCCGCTTTGATGTCAATGATAGAAAAGGAAATATCTTCATATAAAAATTAGACAGAATGATTCTCAGAAACTCCTGTGTGATGTGGGTGTTCATCTCACAGAGTTTAACCTTTCTTTTCATAGAGCAGTTAGGAAACACTCTGTTTGTAAAGTCTTCAAGTGGATATTTCACCTCTTTGAGGCCTTCGTTGGAAACGGGTTTTTTTTCATGTAAGGCTAGACAGAAGAATTCTCAGTAACTTCCTTGTGTTGTATGTATTGAACTCACAGAGTTGAACGATCGTTTACACAGAGTAGATTTGAAACACTCTTTTTGTGCAATTTGCAAGTGGAGATTTCAAGCGCTTTAAGGTCAATGGCAGAAAAGGAAATATCTTCATTTCAAAACTAGACAGAATCATTCCCACAAACTGCGTTGTGATGTGTACGTTCAACGCACAGAGTTTAACCTTTCTTTTCATAGAGCAGTTAGGAAACACTCTCTTTGTAAACTCTGCAAGTGGATATTCAGACCTCTTTGAGGCCTTCGTTGGAATCGGGATTTCTTCATACTATGCTAGACAGAAGAATTCTCAGTAACTTCCTTGTGCTGTGTGTATTCAACTGACAGAGTTGAACTTTCATTTAGACAGAGCAGATTTGAAACACTCTTTTTGTGGAATTTGCAAGTGGAGATTTTAAGCGCTTTGAGGCCAAAGGCAGAAAAGGAAATATCTTCGTATAAAAACTAGACAGAATCATTCTCAGAAACTGCTCTGCGATGTGTGCGTTCAACTCTCAGGGTTTAACTTTTCTTTTCATTCAGCAGTTTGGAAACACTCTGTTTGTAAAGTGTGCACGTGGATATTTTGACCACTTAGAGGCCATCGTTGGAAACGGGTTTTTTTCATGTAAGGCTAGGCAGAAGAATTCCCAGTAACTTCCTTGTGTTGTGTACATTCAACACACAGAGTTGAAGGTTCCCTTAGACAGAGCAGATTTGAAACACTCTTTTTGTGCAATTTGCAAGTGGAGATTTCGAGCGCTTTAAGGTCAATGGCAGAAAAGGAAATATCTTCGTTTTGAAACTAGACAGAATCATTCCCACAAACTGCGTTGTGATGTGTTCGTTCAACTCACAGAGTTTAACCTTTCTTTTCATAGAGCAGTTAGGAAACACTCTGTTTGTAAATTCTGTAAGTTGATATTCTGACATCTTGTGGCCTTCGTTGGAAACTGGATTTCTTCATATTCTGCTAGACAGAAGAATTCTCAGAATCTTCCTTGTGTTGTGTGTATTCAACTCACAGAGTTGAATGATGGTTTACACAGAGCAGATTTGAAACACTCTTTTTGTGGAATTTGCAAGTGGAGATTTCAGCAGCCTTGAGGTCAATGGTAGAAAAGGAAATACCTTCGTATAAAAACTAGACAGAATGATTCTCAGAAACTTCTTTGTGATGTGTGCATTCAACTCACAGAGTTTAACCTTTCTTTTCATAGAGCAGTTAGGAAACACTCTGTTTGTATATTCTGCAAGTGGATATTCACACCTCTTAGATGCCTTCGTTGGAAACGGGATTTCTTCATATTATGCCTGACAGAAAAATTCTCAGTAACTTCCTTGTGTTGTGTGTATTCAACTCACAGAGTTGAACGATCCTTTAAACAGAGCAGATTTGAAACACTCTTTTTGTGGAATTTGCAAGTAGAGATTTCAGTCGCGCTGAGGTCAATGGTAGAAAAGGGAATATCTTCGTATAAATACTAGACAGAATGATTCTCAGAAACTTCTTTGTGAAGTGTGCGTTCAACTCACCGAGTTTAACCTTTCTTTTCATAGAGCAGTTAGGAAACACTCTGTTTGAAAAGTCTGCAAGTGGATATTCAGACATTTTTGAGGCCTTCATTAGAAACGGGATTTCTTCATATTATGCTAGACAGAAGAATTCTCAGTAACTTCCGCGTGTTGTGTGTATTCAACTCACAGAGTTGAACGATCCTTTACACAGAGCAGACTTGAGACACTCTTTTTGTGGTATTTGCAAGTGGAGATTTCAGCCGCTTTGAGGTCAATGGTACAAAAGGAAATATCTTCGTATAAAAACTAGACAGAATGATTCTCAGAAACTCCTTTGTGATGTGTGTGTTCAATTCACAGAGTTTAACCTTTCTTTTCATAGAGCAGTTAGGAAACACTCTGTTTGTAAACTCTGCAAGTGGATATTCAGACCTCTTTGTGGCCTTCGTTGGAAACGGCATTTCTTCATACTATTCTAGACAGAAGAATTCTCAGTAACTTCCTCGTGTTGTGTGTATTCAACTCACAGAGTTGAACGATCCTTTACACAGAGCAGATTACAAACACTCTTTTTGTGGAATTTGCAAGTGGAGATTTCAGCCGCTTTGAGGTCAATGGTAGAAAAGGAAATATCTTCGTATAAAAACTAGACAGAATGATTCTCAGAAACTCCATTGTGATGTGTGCGTTCAACTCACACAGTTTAACCTTTCTTTTCATAGAGCAGTTAGGAAACACTCTGTTTGTAAAGTCTGCACATGGATATTTTGACCTATTTGAGGCCATCGTTGGAAACGGGATTTCTTCATACTATGCTAGACAGAAGAATTCTCAGTAACTTCCTTGTGTTGTGTGTATTCAACTGACACAGTTGAACTTTCATTTAGACAGAGCAGATTTGAAACACTCTTTTTGTGGAATTTGCAATTGGAGATTTCAAGCGCTTTGAGGCCAAAGGCAGAAAAGGAAATATCTTCGTATAAAAACTAGACAGAATGATTCTCAGAAACTGCTCTGCGATGTGTGCGTTCAACTCTCAGAGTGTAACTTTTCTTTTCATTCAGCAGTTTGGAAACACTCTGTTTATAAAGTCTGCACGTGGATATTTTGACCACTTAGAGGCCTTCGTTGGAAACGGGATTTTTTCATGTAAGGCTAGACCGAAGAATTCCCTTTAAATTGCTTGTGTTGTGTGTATTCAACTGACAGATTTGAACTTTCATTTAGACAGAGCAGATTTGAAACACTCTTTTTGTGCAATTTGCAATTGGAGATTTGAAGCGCTTTAAGGTCAATGGCAGAAAAGGAAATATCTTCGTTTCAAAACTAGACAGAATCATTCCCACAAACTGCGTTGTGTTGTGTTCGTTTAACTCACAGAGTTTACCCTTTCTTTTCATAGAGCAGTTAGGAAACACTCTGTTTGTAAACTCTGCAAGTGGATATTCACACCTCTTAGAGGCCTTCGTTGGAAACGGTATTTCTTCATATTATGCTAGATAGAAGAATTCTCAGCAACTTCCTTGTGTTGTGTTTATTCAACTCACAGAGTTGAACGATCTTTTGAGCAGACTTGAAACACTCTTTTTGTGGAATTTGCAAGTGGAGATTTCAGCCGCTTTGAGGTCAATGGTAGAAAAGGAAATATCTTCGAATAAAAACTAGACAGAATGATTCTCAGAAACTCCTTTGTGATGTGTGCGTTCAACTCACAGAGTTTAACCTTTCTTTTCATAGAGCAGTTAGGAAATACTCTGTTTGTAAAATCTGCAAGTGGATATTCAGACCTCTTTGAGGCCTTCGTTGGAAACGGGATTTCTTCATATTATGCTAGTCAGAAGAATTCTCAGTAACTTCCTTGTGTTGTGTGTATTCAACTCACAGAGTTGAACGATCCTTTACACAGAGCAGATTACAAACACTCTTTTTGTGGAATTTGCAAGTGGAGATTTCAGCCGCTTTGAGGTCAATAGTAGAAAAGGAAATATCTTCGTATAAAAACTAGACAGAATGATTCTCAGAAACTCCTTTGTGATGTGTGCGTTCAACTCACAGAGTTTAGCCTTTCTTTTCATAGAGCAGGTAGGAAACACTCTGTTTGTAAAGTCTGCACGTGGATATTTTGACCTCTTTGAGGCCTTCAATGGAAACGGGATTTTTTCATGTAAGGCTAGACAGAAGAATTCTCAGTAACTTCCTTGTGTTGTGTGTATTCAACTGACAGAGTTGAACTTTCATTTAGACAGAGCAGATTTGAAAAGCTCTTTATGTGGAATTTGCAATTGGAGATTTCAAGCGCTTTGAGGCCAAAGACAGAAAAGGAAATATCTTCGTATAAAAACTAGACAGAATCATTCCCTCAAACTGCGTTGTGATGTGTTCGATCAACTCACGGAGTTTAACCTTTCTTTTCATAGAGCAGTTAGGAAACACTCTGTTTGTAAAGTCTGCACGTGGATATTTTGACCACTTAGAGGCCTTCGTTGGAAACGGGTTTTTTTCATGTAAGGCTAGACAGAAGAATTTCCTGTAAGTTCCTTGTGTTGCGTGCATTCAACTCACAGAGTTGAACGTTCCCTTAGACAGAGCAGATTTGAAACACTCTTTTTGTGCAATTGGCAAGTGGAGATTTCAAGCGATTTAAGGTCAATGGCAGAAAACGATATACCTTCATTTCAAAACTAGACAGAATCATTCGCACAAACTGTGTTGTGATGTGTTCGTTCAACTCACAGAGTTTAAACTTTCTTTTCATAGAGCAGTTAGGAAACACTCTGTTTGTAAAGTCTGCAAGTGGATATTCAGACCTCCTTGAGGCCCTCGTGGAAACGGGAT
>NC_000005.10:49612096-49618994 GCF_000001405.40 Homo sapiens | reverse complement strand
TCTTTTCATAGAGCAGTTAGGAAACACTCTGTTTGTAAACTCTGCAAGTGGATATTCAGACCTCTTTGAGGACTTCGTTGGAAACGGGATTTCTTAATATTATGCTAGACAGAAGAATTCTCAGAAACTTCCTTGTGTTGTGTGTATTCAACTCACAGAGTTGAACGATCCTTTACACAGAGCAGATTTGAAACACACTTTTTGTGTAATTTGCAAGTGGGGATTTCAGCCACTTTGAGGTCAATGGCAGAAAAGGAAATATCTCTTTTTAAAAACTATACAGAATGATTCTCAGTAAGTTCTTTGTGATGTGTGCGTTCAACTCACAGGGCTTAACCTATCTTTTCATAGAGCAGTTAGGAAACACTCTGTTTGTAAACTCTGCAAGTGGATATTCAGACCTCTTTGAGGACTTCGTTGGAAACGGGATTTCTTCATATTATGCTAGACAGAAGAATTCTCAGTAACTTCCTTGTGTTGTGTGTATTCAACTCACAGAGTTGAACGATCCTTTACACAGAGCAGATTAGAAACTCTCTTTTTGTGGAATTTGCAGGTGGAGATTTCAGCCGCTTTGAGGTCAATAGTAGAAAAGGGAATATCTTCGTATAAAAACTAGACAGAATCATTCTCAGAAACTGCTCGGCGATGTGTGCGTTCAACTCTCAGAGTTTAACTTTTCTTTTCATTCAGCAGTTTGGAAACACTCTGTTTGTAAAGTCTGCACGTGGATATTTTGACCTCTGAGAGGCCTTCGTTGGAAACGGGTTTTTTTCATGTAAGGCTAGACAGAAGAATTCCCGGTAACTTCCTTGTGTTGTGTGTATTCAACTCACAGAGTTGAACGTTCCGTTAGACAGAGCAGATTTGAAACACTCTTTTTGTGCAATTTGGAAGTGGAGATTTCAGCCACTTTGAGGTCAATGGCAGGAAAGGAAATATCTTTTTTTAAAAACTATGCAGAATGTTTCTCAGTAAGTTCTTTGTGATGTGTGCGTTCAACTCACAGGGTTTAACCTTTCTTTTCATAGAGCAGTTAGAAAGCACTCTGTTTGTAAAGTCTTCAAGTGGATATTCAGACCTCTTTTAGGCCCTCGTTGGAAACGAGATTTCTTCATATTATGCTAGACAGAAGAATTCTCAGTAACTTCCTCGTGTTGTGTGTATTCAACTCACAGAGTTGAACGATCCTTTACACAGAGCAGATTAGAAACACTCTTTTTGTGGAATTTGCAAGTGGAGATTTCAGCCGCTTTGAGGTCAATGGTAGAAAAGGAAATATCTTCATAGAAAAACTAGACAGAATGATTCTCAGAAACTTCTTTGTGATGAGTGCGTTCAACTCACAGATTTTAACCTTTCTTTTCATAGAGCAGTTAGGAAACACTCTGTTTGTAAAGTCTGCACGTGGATATTTTGACCTCTTTTAGGCCTTCCTTGGAAACGGGTTTTTTTCATGTAAGCCTAGACAGAAGAATTCTCAGAAACTCCCTTGTGTTGTGTGTATTCAACTGACAGAGTTGAACTTTCATTTAGACAGAGCAGATTTGAAACACTCTTTATGTGGAATTGGCCAGTGGAGATTTGAAGCGCTTTGAGACCAAAGGCAGAAAAGGAAATATCTTCGTTTCAAAACTAGACAGAATCATTCCCACAAACTGCGTTGTGATGTGTTCGTTCAACACACAGGGTTTAACCTTTCTTTTCATAGAGCAGTTAGGAAACACTCTGTTTGTAAAGTCTGTAAGTGGATATTCTGACATCATGTGGCCTTCGTTGGAAACGGGATTTCTTCATATTCTGCTAGACAGAAGAATTCTCAGTAACTTCCTCGTGTTGTGTGTATTCAACTCACAGAGTTGAACGATCCTTTACACAGAGCAGATTAGAAACACTCTTTTTGTGGAATTTGCAAGTGGAGATTTCAGCCGCTTTGAGGTCAATGGTAGAAAAGGAAATATCTTCGTATAAAAACTAGACAGAATGATTCTCAGAAACTCCTTTGTGATGAGTGCGTTCAACTCACAGATTTTAACCTTTCTTTTCATAGAGCAGTTAGGAAACACTCTGTTTGTAAAGTCTGCACGTGGATATTTTGACCTCTTTGAGGCCTTCCGTGGAAACGGGATTTTTTCATATAAGGCTAGACAGAAGAATTCTCAGTAACTTCCTTGTGTTGTGTGTATTCAACTGACAGAGTTGAACTTTCATTTAGACAGAGCAGATTTGAAACACTATTTATGTGGAATTGGCAATTGGAGATTTCAACCTCTTTGAGGCCAAAGGCAGAAAAGGAAATATCTTCGTTTCAAAACTAGACAGAATCATTCCCACAAACTGCGTTGTGATGTGTTCGTTCAACTCACAGAGTTTAACCTTTCTTTTCATATAGCAGTTAGGAAACACTCTGTTTGTAAAGTCTGCAAGTGGATATTCAGACCTCTTTGAGGCCCTCGTTGGAAACGGGATTTCTTCATATTATGCTAGACAGAAGAATTCTCAGTAACTTCCTTGTGTTGTGTGTATTCAACTCACAGAGTTGAACGATCCTTTACACAGAGCAGATTAGAAACTCTCTTTTTGTGGAATTTGCAGGTGGAGATTTCAGCCGCTTTGAGGTCAATAGTAGAAAAGGGAATATCTTCGTATAAAAACTAGACAGAATCATTCTCAGAAACTGCTCGGTGATGTGTGCGTTCAACTCTCAGAGTTTAACTTTTCTTTTCATTCAGCAGTTTGGAAACACTATGTTTGTAAAGTCTGCACGTGGATATTTTGACCTCTGAGAGGCCTTCGTTGGAAACGGGTTTTTTTCATGTAAGGCTAGACAGAAGAATTCCCGGTAACTTCCTTGTGTTGTGTGTATTCAACTCACAGAGTTGAACGTTCAGTTAGACAGAGCAGATTTGAAACACTCTTTTTGTGCAATTTGGAAGTGGAGATTTCAGCCACTTTGAGGTCAATGGCAGGAAAGGAAATATCTTCTTTTCAAAACTATACAGAATGATTCTCAGTAAGTTCTTTGTGATGTGTGCGTTCAACTCACAGGGTTTAACCTTTCTTTTCATAGAGCATTTAGGAAACTCTCTGTTTGTAAAGTCTGCAAGTGGATATTCAGACAACTTTGAGGCCCTCGTTGGAAACGGGATTTCTTCATATTATGCTAGACAGAAGAATTCTCAGTAACTTCCTTGTGTTGTGTGTATTCAACTCACAGAGTTGAACGATCCTTTACACAGAGCAGATTACAAACACTCCTTTTGTGGAATTTGCAAGTGGAGATTTCAGCGGCTTTGAGGTCAATGGTAGAAAAGGAAATATCTTCGTATAAAAACTAGACAGAATGATTCTCAGAAACTCCTTTGTGATGTGTGCGTTCAACTTACAGAGTTTAACTTTTCTTTTCATAGAGGAGTGAGGAAACACTCTGTTTGTAAAGTCTGCAAGTGGATATTCAGACCTCTTTGAGGCCTTCGTTGGAAACGGGATTTCTTCATATTCTGCTAGACAGAAGAATTCTCAGTAACTTCCTTGTGTTGTGTGTATTCAACTCACAGAGTTGAACGATCCTTTACACAGAGCAGATTTGAAACCCTCTTTTTGTGTAATTTGCAAGTGGAGATTTCAGCCACTTTGAGGTCAATGGCAGAAAAGGAAATATCTTCTTTTAAAAACTATACAGAATGATTCTCAGTAAGTTCTTTGTGAAGTGTGCATTCAACTCACAGGGTTTAACCTTTCTTTTCATAGAGCAGTTAGGAAGCACTCTGTTTGTAAAGTCTTCAAGTGGATATTCAGACCTCTTTGAGGCCCTCGTTGGAAACGAGATTTCTTCATATTATGCTAGACAGAAGAATTCTCAGTAACTTCCTCGTGTTGTGTGTATTCAACTCACAGAGTTGAACGATCCTTTACACAGAGCAGATTAGAAACACTCTTTTTGTGGAATTTGCAAGTGGAGATTTCAGCCGCTTTGAGGTCAATGGTAGAAAAGGAAATATCTTCGTATAAAAACTAGACAGAATGATTCTCAGAAACTCCTTTGTGATGAGTGCGTTCAACTCACAGATTTTAACCTTTCTTTTCATAGAGCAGTTAGGAAACACTCTGTTTGTAAAGTCTGCACGTGGATATTTTGACCTCTTTGAGGCCTTCCTTGGAAACGGGTTTTTTTCATGTAAGCCTAGACAGAAGAATTCTCAGAAACTCCCTTGTGTTGTGTGTATTCAACTGACAGAGTTGAACTTTCATTTAGACAGAGCAGATTTGAAACACTCTTTATGTGGAATTGGCAAGTGGAGATTTGAAGCGCTTTGAGACCAAAGGCAGAAAAGGAAATATCTTCGTTTCAAAACTAGACAGAATCATTCCCACAAACTGCGTTGTGATGTGTTCGTTCAACTCACAGGGTTTAACCTTTCTTTTCATAGAGCAGTTAGGAAACACTCTGTTTGTAAAGTCTGTAAGTGGATATTCTGACATCTTGTGGCCTTCTTTGGAAACGGGATTTCTTCATATTCTGCTAGACAGAAGAATTCTCAGTAACTTCCTTGTGTTGTGTGTATTCAACTCACAGAGTTGAACGATCCTTTACACAGAGCAGACTTGAAACACTCTTTTTGTGGAATTTGCAAGTGTAGATTTCAGCCGCTTTGAGGTCAATGGTAGAAAAGGAAATATCCTCGTATAAAAAGTAGACAGAATGATTCTCAGAAACTCCTTTGTGATGAGTGCGTTCAACTCACAGAGTTTAACCTTTCTTTTCATATAGCAGTTAGGAAACACTCTGTTTGTAATGTCTTTAAGTGGATATTTTGACCTCTTTGAGGCCTTCCTTGGAAACGGGATTTTTTCATATAAGGCTAGACAGAAGAATTCTCAGTAACTTCCTTGTGTTGTGTGTATTCAACTGACAGAGTTGAACTTTCATTTAGACAGAGCAGATTTGAAACACTATTTATGTGGAATTGGCAATTGGAGATTTCAACCTCTTTGAGGCCAAAGGCAGAAAAGGAAATATCTTCGTTTCAAAACTAGACAGAATCATTCCCACAAACTGCGTTGTGATGTGTTCGTTCAACTCACAGAGTTTAACCTTTCTTTTCATAGAGCAGTTAGGAGACACTCTGTTTGTAAAGTCTGCAAGTGGATATTCAGACCTCTTTGAGGCCTTCATTGGAAACGGGATTTCTTCATATTATGATACACAGAAGAATTCTCAGTAACTTCCTTGTGTTGTGTGTATTCAACTCACAGAGTTGAACGATCCTTTACACAGAGCAGATTACAAACACTCCTTTTGTGGAATTTGCAAGTGGAGATTTCAGCCGCTTTGAGGTCAATGGTAGAAAAGGAAATATCTTCGAATAAAAACTAGACAGAATGATTCTCAGAAACTCCTTTGTGATGTGTGCGTTCAACTCACAGAGTTTAACTTTTCTTTTCATAGAGAAGTTAGGAAACACTCTGTTTGTAAAGTCTGCAAGTGGATATTCACACCTCTTTGAGGCCTTCCTTGGAAACGGGATTTCTTCATATTCTGCTAGACAGAAGAATTCTCAGTAACTTCCTTGTGTTGTGTGTATTCAACTCACAGAGTTGAACGATCCTTTACACAGAGCAGATTTGAAACACTCTTTTTGTGTAATTTGCAAGTGGAGATTTCAGCCACTTTGAGGTCAATGGCAGAAAAGGAAATATCTTCTTTTAAAAACTATACAGAATGATTCTCAGTAAGTTCTTTGTGATGTGTGCGTTCAACTCACAGGGTTCAACCTTTCTTTTCATAGAGCAGTTAAGAAACACTCTGTTTGTAAAGTCTTCAAGTGGATATTCATACCTCTTTGAGGCCCTCGTTGGAAACGGGATTTCTTCATATTATGCTAGACAGAAGAATTCTCAGTAACTTCCTTGTGTTGTGTGTATTCAACTCACAGAGTTGAACGATCCTTTACACAGAGCAGATTAGAAACACTCTTTTTGTGGAATTTGCAGGTGGAGATTTCAGCCGCTTTGAGGTCAATAGTAGAAAAGGGAATATCTTCGTATAAAAACTAGACAGAATCATTCCCAGAAACTGCTCGGCGATGTGTGCGTTCCACTCTCAGAGTTTAACTTTTCTTTTCATTCAGCAGTTTGGAAACACTCTTTTTTTAAAGTCTGCACGTGGATATTTTGAGCACTTAGAGGCCTTCGTTGGAAACGGGTTTTTTTCCTGTAAGGCTCGACAGAAGAATTCCCAGTAACTTCCTTGTGTTGTGTGTATTCAACTCACAGAGTTGAACTTTCCCTTAGACAGAGCAGATTTGAAACACTCTTTTTGTGCAATTTGGAAGTGGAGATTTCAAGCGCTTTAGGGTCAATGGCAGAAAAGAAAATATCTTCATCTCAAAACTAGACAGAATCATTCCCACAAACTGCGTTGTGATGTGTTCGTTCAACTCACAGAGTTTAACCTTTCTTTTCATAGAGCAGTTAGGAAACACTCTGTTTGTAAAGTCTGTAAGTGGATATTCTGACATCTTGTGGCCTTCGTTGGAAACGGGATTTCTTCATATTCTGCTAGACAGAAGAATTCTCAGTAACTTCCTTGTGTTGTGTGTATTCAACTCACAGAGTTGAACGATCCTTTACACAGAGCAGACTTGAAACACTCTTTTTGTGGAATTTGCAAATGGAGATTTCAGCCGCTTTGAGGTCAATGGTAGAAAAGGAAATATCTTCGTATAAAAACTAGACAGAATGATTCTCAGAAACTCCTTTGAGATGAGTGCGTTCAACTCACAGAGTTTAACCTTTCTTTTCATAGAGCAGTTAGGAAACACTCTGTTTGTAATGTCTTTAAGTGGATATTTTGACCTCTTTTGAGCCTTCCTTGGAAACGGGTTTTTTTCATATA
>NC_000005.10:49609714-49611721 GCF_000001405.40 Homo sapiens | reverse complement strand
AAACGGGATTTCTGCATATTATGCTACACAGAAGAATTCTCAGTAACTTCCTTGTGTTGTGTGTATTCAACTCACAGAGTTGAACGATCCTTTACACAGAGCAGATTACAAGCACTCCTTTTGTGGAATTTGCAAGTGGAGATTTCAGCCGCTTTGAGGTCAATGGTAGAAAAGGAAATATCTTCGTATAAAAACTAGACAGAATGATTCTGAGAAACTCCTTTGTGATGTGTGTGTTCATCTCACAGAGTTTAACCTTTCTTTTCATAGAGGAGTTAGGAAACACACTGTTTGAAAAGTCTGCAAGTGGATATTTTGACCTCTTTGAGGCCTTCGTTTGAAACGGGTTTTTTTCATGTAGGGCTAGACAGAAGAATTTTCAGTAACTTCCTTGTGTTGTGTGTATTCAACTGACAGAGTTGAACTTTCATTTAGACAGAGCAGATTTGAAACACTCTTTTTGTGGAATTTGCAAGTGGAGATTTCAAGCGCTTTGAGGCCAAAGGCAGAAAAGGAAATATGTTCGTATAAAAACTAGACAGAATCATTCTCAGAAACTGCTCTGTGATGTGTGCGTTCAACTCTCAGAGTTGAACTTTTCTTTTCATTCAGCAGTTTGGAAACACTCTGTTTGTAAAGTCTGCACGTGGATATTTTGACCACTTAGAGGCGTTAGTTGGAAACGCGTTTTTTTCATGTAAGGCTAGACAGAAGAATTCCCAGTAACTTCCTTTTGTTGTGTGCATTCAACTCACAGAGTTGAACGTTCCCTTAGACAGAGCAGATTTGAAACACTGTTTTTGTGCAATTTGCAAGTGGAGATTTCAAGCGCTTTAAGGTCAATGGCAGAAAAGGAAATATCTTCGTTTCAAAACTAGACAGAATCATTCCCACAAACTGCGTTGTGATGTGTTCGTTCAACTCACAGAGTTAAACTTTTCTTTTCATAGAACAGTTAGGAAACACTCTGTTTGTAAAGTCTGTAAGTTGATATTCTGACATCTTGTGGCCTTATTGGTAACGGGATTTCTTCATATTCTGCTAGACAGAAGAATTCTCAGAATCTTCCTTGTGTTGTGTGTATTCAACTCAAAGAGTTGAACGATCCTTTACACAGAGCAGGCTTGAAACACTCTTTTTGTGGAATTTGCAAGTGGAGATTTCAGCCGCTTTGAAGTCAATGGTAGAAAAGGAAATATCTTCGTATAAAAACTAGACAGAATGATTCTCAGAAACTCCCTTGAGATGAGTGCGTTCAACTCACAGAGTTTAACCTTTCTTTTCATAGAGCAGTTAGGAAACACTCTGTTTGTAAAGTCTGCACGTGGATATTTTGACCTCTTTGAGGCCTTCATTGGAAACGGTTTTTTTTCATATAAGACTAGACAGAAGAATTCTCAGTAACTTCCTTGTGTTGTGTGTATTCAACTGACAGAGTTGAACTTTCATTTAGACAGAGCAGATTTGAAACACTCTTTTTGTGGAATTTGCAAGTGGAGATTTCAAGCGCTTTGAGGCCAAAGTCAGAAAAGGAAATATCTTCGTATAAAAACTAGACAGAATCATTCTCAGAAACTGCTCTGCGATGTGTGCGTTCAACTCTCAGAGTTTAACTTTTCTTTTCATTCAGCAGTTCGGAAACACTCTGTTTGTAAAGTCTGCACGTGGATATTTTGACCACTTAGATGCCTTCTTTGGAAACGGGTTTTTTTCTTGTAAGGCTAGACAGAAGAATTCCCAGTAACTTCCTTGTGTTGTGTGCATTCAACTCACAGAGTTGAACGTTCCCTTAGACAGAGCAGATTTGAAACACTCTTTTTGTGCAATTGGCAAGTGGAGATTTCAAGCGCTTTAAGGTCAATGGAAGAAAAGGAAATATCTTCGTTTCAAAACTAGACAGAATCATTCGCACAAACTGCGTTGTGATGTGTGCGTTCAACTCACAGAGTTTAACCTTTCTTTTCATAGAGCAGTTAGGAAACACTCTGTTTGTAAACTCTGCAAGTG
>NC_000005.10:49601086-49603131 GCF_000001405.40 Homo sapiens | reverse complement strand
TTCTATTCAATTCCTTTACACTCCATTCCATTCCATTCCATTCCACACAATTCCATTCCATTCCATACCATATCATTCCAATTGGGTTGAATCCATTCCATTCCATTTCGTTCCATTCCATTCTATTCCGTACCATTCCACTCCTTTCCATTCCATTCCATTCTATGCCATTCCACTCGGGTTGATTCCATTCCACTCTATTCCATTCAGGTTGATTCCATTCCATTCGATTCCATTCCATTCCATTCCATTGCTCTCGGGTTGATTCCATTCCATTCCATTCCATTCCATTCCATTCCATTCCATTCGTTTCCATTCCATTCCACTCCTGTTGATTCCATTTCCATTCCACTCGATTACATTCCCTTCCATTCCACTCGGAATGATTCCATTCCATTCCATTCCCTTCCATTCCCTTCCATTGCATTCCATTCCAATCCATTCCATTCCATTGCATTCCACTCGAGTTGATTCCATTCCATTCCATTCCATTCCATTCCTTTCCATTCCATTACATTCCATTCGGGTTGATTCTATTCAATTCCTTTACACTCCATTCCATTCTATTCAATTCCACACAATTCCATTCCATTCCATTCCATTCCAATCGGGTTTAATACATTCCATTCCATTTCGTTCCATTCCATTCTATTCCGTACCATTCCATTCCATTCCATTCCATTCCTTTCCATTCCATGCCATTCCACTGGGGTTGATTCCATTTCATTCCATTTTATTCGGGTTGATTCCATTCCATTCCATTCCATTCCATTCCATTCCATTCCATTCCATTGCACTTGGGTTGATTCCATTTGATTCCATTCCATTCCATTCCATTCCATTCGTTTCCATTCCATTGCATTCCATTCCATTCCATTCCTTCCCATTCCATTCCACTTGAGTTGTTTCCATTCTATTCTTTTCCATTCCATTCCATTCCCTTCCATTCCACTAGGGGTGATTCCATTCGTTTCCATTCCACTCGAATACATTCCCTTCTATTCAACTCGGAATGATTCCTTTCCATTCCATTCCATTCCATTCCATTCCATTCCGTTCCATTTCGTTCCATTCCATTCTATTCCGTACCATTCCATTCCATTCCATTCCTTTCCATTCCATGCCATTCCACTCTCGTTGATTCCATTTCATTCCATTCTATTCGGGTTGATTCCATTCCATTCCATTCCATTCCGTTCCATTGCATTCCATTCCATTCCATTCCATTCCATTCCATTGCACTTGAGTTGATTCCATTCCATTCCATTCCTTTTCATTCCATTCCTCTCGGGTTGATTCCATTCTATTCCTTTCCATTCCATTCCATTCCCTTATATTCCACTCGGGTTGAATCCATTCCTTTCCATTCCACTCGAATACATTCCCTTCTATTCCAGTCGGAATGATACCTTCCCATTCCATTCCATTTCGTTCCATTCCATTTTATTCCGTAACATTCCATTCCATTCCATTCCATTCCATTCCATTTCGTTCCATTCCATTCTATTCCGTACCATTCCATTCCATTCCTTTCCATTCTATTCCATTCCATGCCATTTCACTCGGGTTGATTCCATTCCTTTCCATTCCATTCGGGTTGATTCCATTCCATTCCATTCCATTCCATTCCATCCATTCCATTCCATTGGTTTCCATTCCATTCCACTGGTGGTGATTCCATTCCATTCCTTTCCATTCCATTCCATTCCCTTCCATTCCACTCATGTGGATTCCATTTCCATTCCACTGGATTACATTGCGTTCCATTCCACTTGGAAGGATTCCATTCCATTCCATTCACTTCCATTCCCTTCCATTGCATTCCATTCCAATCCATTCCATTCCATTCCATTCCACACAATTCCATTCCATTCCATTCCATTCCATTCCATTCCATTCCATTCCATTGCGCTGGTGTTGATTCCATTCCTTTCCATTCCACTCGATTACATTCACTTCCATTCCACTCGGAATGATTCCATTCCATTCCATTCCATTCCATTGCATTCCATTCCAATCCATTCCATTCCATTCCATCCACCCGA
>NC_000005.10:49599323-49600986 GCF_000001405.40 Homo sapiens | reverse complement strand
ATCACTCATCTGATGTAACGCTTGTCTAAGCTGTGCCTAAAGGGGATTGTGACAGATATGTCCACTGATCGACCAGGTGATGTACCAATTTTCTGGGATTTGTCTACAGGGGGCTTTGTGACATATCTTTGCACTGATCACCCAGGAGATGTAACTCTTGTCTTGGTCGGCCTACACGGGTTTGTGACATATTTCTGCACTGATCACCCAGGAGATGTAATTCTTGTCTAGGCTCCACCTACAGGGGTTATTGTGACGTATCTCTGCACTGATCACCCAGGTGGTCTAACTCTTGTCTAGGCTCCACTTACAGGGGGTATTGTGACGTATGTCTGTACTGATCTCCCAGGTGATGTAACATTTATCTGGGCTCTGCCTACAGGGGCGTTTTGACATAACTCTGCACAGATCACATAGGTTATGTAACTCTTGACCACTCTGCCCACAGGGGCTTTGTGAAATATCACTTCACTGATCACCCAGGTGATGGGACTCTTCTCTATACTCTGCCTACAGGGGGATTTGTGACATATCTCTGCACTGGTCACCCAGGTGATGGAAGTCTTGTCTAGGTTCTGTCCATGGGGGTATTGTGTCAAATATCTGCACTGATCAACCAGGTGATGTAACTCTTTTATAGGCTCTGTCTACAGGGACTTTTGAGACATATCACTGTATTGATCACCTAGGTGATGTAAGCCTTGTATGGGCTTTGCCTACAGAAGACTTTGTGATATATCTCTGCAATGATCTCTGAGGTGATGCAACTCTTGTCTAGGCACTGACTACAGGGGATATTAGTACATATCTCTTCACTGATCACCCAGGTGATGGACTCTTGTCTTAGATCTGCCTACATGGACATTGTGACACATCTCTGAACTGATCAAACAAGTGATGAAACTCTTGTCTAGGCTCTGCCTAAATGGGCTTTGTGACACATCTCTGCACTTATCACTCTGGGGAGGGTACTCTTGTCTATGCTCTGCTTACAGGATGCTTTAGGATTTATAGTGGCACTGATAACCTAGATTGTGTAACACTTGTCTAGGCTTTGCCTACACGGGAATTCTCACATATCTCTGCACTGATCACCTAGGTGACGGACTCTTGTCTTGGATCTGCCTATGGGGGCACAGTGACGTACCTCTACACTGATCACTCAGGTGATGTAAGTGTTGTATAAGCTCTGCCTTCAGGGGAATTGTGAGAGATATAGCCACTGATCACCCAAGTAAGTGATGTAAATATTGTCTAGGCTTTGCATTCAGGGAGCTTTGTGACATAGCTTTGCACTGATCACCCAAGAGATGTAACTCATCTAAGTTCTGCCTACAGGAGCTTTGTGACATATCTCTGCACTGATCACCCAGGTGATTCAACTCTTGTCTAGCATCTGCCTACAGGAGTATTGTGAAATATCTCCGCATTGATAATTAGGGGTTATAACTGTTGTCTAGGCCCTGCCTCCAGGGGCGTTTTCACATATCCCTGAACTGATGACAAAGGCGATGTAACACTTGACTAGGCTTTGCCTACAGGGGACATTGTGACATATCTCTACACTGATCACCCAGGTGATGTAACACTTTCTAGTCTGAATATCCACTTGCAGAGTTTACAAACAGAGTGTTTCCTACTGCTCTATGAAAAGAAGGGTTAA
>NC_000005.10:49591469-49592920 GCF_000001405.40 Homo sapiens | reverse complement strand
TGAGTTGAACGACACATCACAACGCAGTTTGTGGGAATGATTCTGTCTAGTTTTGATACGAAGATATTTCCTTTTCTGCCTTTGGTCTCAAAGCGCTTGAAATCTCCACTTGCCAATTCCACATAAAGAGGGTTTCAAATCTGCTCTGTCTAAATGAAAGTTCAACTCTGTCAGTTGAATACACACCACACAAGGGAGTTTCTGAGAATTCTTCTGTCTAGCCTTGTATGAAAAAACCCGTTTCCAACGAAGGCCTCAAAGAGGTCAAAATATCCACGTGCAGACTTTACAAACAGAGTGTTTCCTAACTGCTCTGTGAAAAGAAAGGTTAAACCCTGTGAGTTGAACGAACACATCACAACGCAGTTTGTGGGAATGATTCTGTCTAGTTTTGAAATGAAGATATTTCCTTTTCTGCCATTGACCTTAAAGCGCTTGAAATCTCCACTTGCAAATTGCACAAAAGGAGTGTTTCAAATCTGCTCTGTGTAAACGATCGTTCAACTCTGTGAGTTGAATACACACAACACAAGGAAGTTACTGAGAAATCTTCTGTCTAGCCTTACATGAAAAAAACCCGTTTCCAACGAACGCCTCTGAGGGGTCAAAATATCCACGTGCAGACTTAACAAACAGAGTGTTTCCTAATTGCTCTATGAAAAGAAAGGTTGAACTCTGTGAGTTGAACGCGCACATCACAAAGAAGTTTCTGAGAATGATTCTGTCTAGTTTTTATACGAAGATATTTCCTTTTCTATCATTGACATCAAAGCGGCTGAAATCTCCACTTGCAAATACCACAAAAAGAGTGTTTCAAATCTGCTCTGTGTAAATGAAAGTTCAACTCTGTGAGTTGAATACACACAACACAAGGAAGTTACTGGGAATTCTTCTGTCTAGCCTTATATGAAAAAATCCCGTTTCCAAGGAAGGCCTCAAAGAGGTCTGAATATCCACTTGCAGACTTTACAAGCAGAGTGTTTCCTAACTGCTCTATGAAAAGGAAGGTTAAACTCTGTGAGTTGAACGCACACATCACAAAGGAGTTTCTGAGAATCATTCTATCTAGTTTTTATACGAAGATATTTCCTTTTCTACCTTTGACTTCAAAGCGGCTGAAATCTCCACTTGCAAATTCCACAAAAAGAGTGTTTCAAGTCTGCTCTGTGTAAAGGGTCTTTCAACTCTGTGAGTTGAATACACACAACACAAGGAAGTTACTGAGAATTCTTCTGTCTAGCCTTACATGAAAAAAACCCGTTTCCAACGAAGGCCTCTAAGTGGTCAAATTATCCACGTGCAGACTTTACAAACAGAGTGTTTCCAAACTGCTGAATGAGAAGAAAATTTAAACTCTGAGAGTTGAACGCACACATCACAGAGCAGTTTCTGAGAATGATTCTGTCTAGTTTTTATACGAAGATATTTCCTTTCTGCCTTGGCCTCAAAGC